>NC_000010.11:19706969-19858484 GCF_000001405.40 Homo sapiens
TTCCTCCTCCTCTTCCTCCTCATCCTTCTCCTCCTCCTCCTTCTTCTCTTCCTCCTTCTCCTTCTCTTCCTTTCTTCTTCTTCCTCCTCCTCCTTTCTTCTACTTCTCCCTTCTCCTCCTCCTCTTCCTCCCTTCTTCTTCCTTTTCCTCCTCCTTTCTTCTTCTTCCTTCTCCTCCTCATCCTCCTTTCTTCTTCTTCGTCCTCCTCCTCTGCCTCCTCCTCCTTCTCTTCCTCCTTCTCCTCCTTCTTCTTCTCCTTCTCCTCCTTCTCCTTCTTCTTTCCTCCAGCTTAAGGTGGTAACAGGCCTTATATTTTTAGCCCAGCCCAATGCACATCACTTATGATTTCACTTTATTCTGACCACACCTTCGTAAATTGCCACTTTATCAAAAACTCAAATTTTCCAATTTAAGTATGTCAGCTGGTTCCTGCTAGGGCCCTAACTGATACGAACAAGGCAAGTGCTCTAAACAGAAGAAGACAAGAGCATGTCTGTGTTTAAGAGAAGAATGCAGAGTGTGAGAATAGATTTTAAAAGATTGAGAAAGAGATTTTCAGTCTAGAGGGCATAAGCCTGTTCAGACGAGTTAGATGAGAGATGATGAGGACTTGAACCTGAGCAGCAGTGATTGCTTAATACAAGTCATGGGTTTGAAGTCATGGGTTTGATGTGCCATTTAAAAATATTTCCATTATGACTGGGTGCTGTGGCTCATGCCTGTAATCCCAGTGCTTTGGGAGGCCAAGGTGGGAAGACCACTTTAGGCCTGGAGTTCAAGACCAGCCTGGCTAACATGGTGAAACCCCATCTGTACTAAAAAAAAAAAAAAAAAAAAAATACAAAAATTGGCCAGGCATGGTGGCATGCACCAGCTACTTGGGGGCCTGAGGCAGGAGAATCGCTTGAACCCAGGAGGCAAATGTTGTAGTGAGCTAAGATTGGAGATTGGCCACTGCACTCTAGCCTGGGTGTTAGAGCAAGATTCTGTCTAAATATGTATTATTTTTCATTATACCTTTAATATAAAATTTAATTATAAAATTAAATTTTTATATTTTCTCATTTAATACAGAAAGTGAGAAAATAAAAAAAAAAGCAAGCATCAAAGATGATCCCAGAGTATTATACTTAGGTGACTGCACAGTTGATAATGCTGAGATCTGAAAACTTAAGAGGAAAGCTTATTTGGGCAGTAGGGAAGGAAATAATGTTGATAATATATATTTTCTTATGTATAAAATGAGGAAGTTGGCATAAATCAGTTTTATCCAAACTTCTATCATTTATAGGCTACCCCCACAATTTACACCATGACTACATATGATGTTATGTGTTTTTTTTTTTAACCTTCTTTTTCTTTTTCTTTTTCTTTTTTTTTTTTTTTGAGACAGGGTCTTGTTCTGCTGCCCATGCTAAAGTGCAAGGGCACAATCATGGTTCACTGCAGCCTCAAGCTCCCAGGCTCAAGTAATTCTCCCATCTTAGCCTCCTTAATAGCTGCAACCAGAGGCATGTACCCAACACTCCCAGCTATTTTTTTTTTTTTTTTTTTTTTGTACAGACATGGTCTTGCTGTATTGTTGAGACTGGATTCAAACTCCTGGGCTCAAGTGATTCTCCTGCCGGGGCCTCCCAAAGTACTGGAATCATGTGCCTGAGCCGCCGTGCCTGGCCACATTTATTTTTTATTTTTATTTATTTATTTTTTGAGACAGAGCCTCGCATTGTCACCCAGGCTGGAGTGCAGAGGCACGATCTCGGCTCACCACAACCTCCGCCTCCCAGGTTCAAGCGATTCTCCTGCCTCAGCCTCCCGAGTACCTGGGACTACAGGCGCACGCCACCACACCCAGCTAATTTTTGTGTTTTTAGTAGAGATGGGGTTTAACCATGTTGGCCAAGATGGTCTTGGAACTCCTGACTTCAGGTGATCTGCCCGCCTCGGCCTCCCAAAGTGCTGGGATTACAGGCATGAGCCACCACATCTGGCGGGCCACATTTATTTTGAAATGGAAACAGTGTATCACAGAAACATGGATAAGCCTTTTTTTTTTTTCATTTTTTGAAATTGTCTTTTTACTTTGCTCTTTCCTAAGCAAAAATATTCATGAAGTCATGGGTTTGATGTGCCATTTAAAAATATTTCCATTATGACTGGGTGCTGTGGCTCATGCCTGTAATCCCAGTGCTTTGGGAGGCCAAGGTGGGAAGACCACTTTAGGCCAGAAGTTCAAGACCAGCTTGGCTAACATGGTGAAACCCCGTCTGTACTAAAAAAAAAAAAAAAAAAAAAAAAATACAAAAATTAGCCAGGCATGGTGGCATGCACCAGCTACTTGGGGGCCTGAGGCAGGGGAATCGCTTGAACCCAGGAGGCAAAGGTTGTAGTGAGCTAAGATTGGAGATTGGCCACTGCACTCTAGCCTGGGTGATAGAGCAAGATTCTGTCTAAATACGTATTATTTTTCATTATACCTTTAATATGAAATTTAACTATGAAATTATAATCTTTGTGTTGCCCAAAGTTAATCTCTTTTATGAGCCATTCACACCCACAACATAATGGGAAATAATAAATTATTTTAAGATCCTTTCCCAGGTCTGAAATTCTATGATTTAAATAGAATATTGAGCTTAGTTCTTTTGGGTCCTAAGTATTCCCTAGTTGCAGTGTAACTTGGCATTAAATCTTTCAGTTCTTAGGGTGTCTGTAATTTGACTGAGTAGTGCTCTACACTTATCTTTGCATTACAACTCCCTGAAAGAGTTAATGCTCATTTTAAAAATTAAAAAGATGCCTAATTTACAATTCATGATTAGATGAGACACTCGGCAACTTTATCTGTGTGCTGGTCTTAACTACACAACTGACTGATGGTTAAAACAACAAAGTCTGGGGCTCATTTGTTGTAATTGTATTTGCTGAAAAACCTCTGGAAAGTAGGGACAGTATTGTGCGTCTTGCATCTTCCCTAACACATTGTGGGAATTTTATAAATAACGTGTTGGGCAGGTGCAAAATCAGAACCTGAGGGAGAAGATCACTTGAGCCCAGGAGTTGGAGACTATAGTGAGCCAATGATCACACCACTGCACTCCAGCCTGGGCAACAAAGCAAAACCCTATCTGAATAACCAAACCAAACCAAACAAAACAAGCAGAGGGACTGTGCTCAGTCATTCCAATATTGCCCTCACTTTAGACTATTTAATTTGGATGTCTATATTTGTGACAGATTCTGCCCCTAAGTTCCTGAAAAGCAGTGTCTGGCAGCTGAAAATGTATTTACCAATGTTACTAACAAGGATATCACTCTTGCATTTTTTTTTTTAGAGAAATGAGTGCATGATGAACCCTTTTTAAAAAAGTAATAATCATATTTATTGATGAAACATGATTTAAAATTTCACGTGTATTTCAAAATGATTTCCTTTTGTAACTAATATCTCATATTTCTTTAATCAATTCCTTGATCATTTAAGATATTATTTGACCATACAAAATCAGTTTACATGCAACATATCAGGAACACATTTATTGAATAATGCACACTTCTTTGGTGTGTATACACATGTTTGTGCGTTGTTATTACTAAGTATCCCAGGTTGTTCTAAATCCATTTTCACTGGACACAAACTCCAAGCAACCTATAGAACAATACAAACTGTATAAAATATATGAAGACTACTTTACTGTATTACGGCTCCATATTCTAATTATTTGGTCTGACAGCTATTTCACCATTATCATTTCGTCAGTATAATATCTCTGTTTGGCAGAGATAGTCCCTGGAGCAATGGTTGTAGCGTTTTTCCACATCCTCCCTCTATTCACAGTAAATCTTACACAGCAAGAAGACAACCTTTCAGTCTCTGACATTGCTGGGTTGCATTGTTTTCTTGTACAAGCAATCAGTGTAGATGAATGTGTTGTAGGCAAATCAAAGATGGCTCTTAAAAGAGGTGACTTGGGTAAATGAAGAAAGACAGTAAAAAGAAGTGAGGTGTTTTATTAGTAGTAAGTTATATAGTTTTCCAATGGCATGTAGCAAATTATTCAGCACTTTTGACTAGTGTGAATCAGTAATGTTACCAAGGGGTAGAAACTTGGGAGGGCGATTGGCTTCTTAATTTTTGTTTAATAATTGCTTTCTTATCTTCCTGATAGATTCTTTTTTGCTTTCAAATCTTCTGTCACATCATTTCTCCTTAAATGCATCCTTAGGGATACTCCTTCCACTTCCACTATCTGTTTATTGTGTTGGGTTTTCAAGCTCACTAATGAATCAAAGTTCTTCAAAGACCAGTTGATTTTCATCTTTTCAAAAAAGAAACACATAAGTCAGAAACTCTTAGCAATTCATTCTTATATTTTTTGACAAACATCTGTTAAGCACCTATTATTTGCTAGTCACTGTGTTAGGGGCTAGGAATATAAGAATAAATAATAGTTTATGCTCTAATGGAGGAGGTATATATAAAAGCAAATAATCTCAATACTGCAATAAGCATATATCAAACATATACAATCACTTCATAGAAAGCACTGGAAAAGGAGAGACAGTCTTTGGTTTGAAGGTAATGATAATATGGAAGGTTGAGAAAGGGTTGGTGCAGAGGTGCTGTATCACTCCAACCTAGACTCATGGATTGAAATCCACCAAGTGTCAAAGAAGAGCACCCCAAAAAATAGAACAGCCTGTGTATATGTGTGTGGCACAGACTGTGACAGGGAATTGTTTCTGAAACACCAGGGGTTTGGTCTAGGCCCTGCTGCTTGCCACACAGAAAGCCAATCACTGAGACAACAAGTATTGCCAGGGAAGAAGGTTTTAATGGGGTTCTGTAGCCAAGGAGATGGGAGATCAGTCTCAAATCCATCTCCCTGACCAATTAAAATCAGGGAGTAGCAGGGAAGAAATATAACCATCTGTGGGAAAACAGGAATTAGAGAGGGGTAAGGAAGAGGAGCTGGTCAAAAGGGGGCAGGTGGTCAGTTGGAAAATTGTAATGGGTGAGGGGTCTGACATCTCATTTTCCAGATCCAGTGGTCTGATGAGTTTCAGGTCCTTGATACTATCTTGGAGGCCTGATGGTTGGTTTCCCAAGAAAGGAACTCAGATAAGACAAATATCAATTTCTATGTTTAGTCAAAGAAACTATAAACATCAGCTCTATGGAACACTTGGGTCAGCTTCAGAATTGCATGGTTACTGTGAATAGAACACAGGTCAGGGATGAAAAAACGGTGAGCAATTGACTAGGAATTTAATAGAGAAAGATCACTTTTAAGAAATCGAATAAAATCCTAATTGTATCTTTGTATGCCTAGAATTTGTTTTTAAATAGGTTATTTTAAAATAACTACAAGAAAATGCAGTTTTATTGCTTTTTGCAATGTTTCCATTGTTCTAAAAGCTGAAATTGTTCATAGATTCAGAACAGTTTAACTAAATGTATTAATAAACCCAAAATGAGATATATGTAAAGGAATTTGTGGATATGCAGGAGTCATAATGAAATAAGACCATTTTTCTAGACAGATTCTTAACATAAGGCTGTTAAGTTTAAATTGTCTAAAAAATAGGAAAAAGGAAGCTGCTAGGTGATTGCTAAGGGAAATCATGAAAGCTGATAATTAACTTCAACATTGAATTAGTTTTCAATCAAACAGATTATGTGTCTCAAAGAACCCAATAAAAAATTATGGTGAGTTTTCATATAGAGCCATTTGTAGGGAAAAAATATTTCCTTATGATCAGAGAAGGTTAGACAGTACCTGGACCTTTCCAACTGTGGAAACTCGGAGATATCACATTCATAAGGGGAAAGGAAGAGAAAAGACTATTTTTAGAAGAGATAGCCAGCAAAAGCATGTTGAATGAAAAATAGAAGTCAACCATGTAAGTCAATATTTACTCATATCCCTGTCAATAGAACAGAGCCACTCAAATGCTGTGTGTTGAAGGAATATCTCTGTTTTTGTTTTTTTGTTTTTTGTTTTGTTTCCAATCCATTATACTCCAATGTTTTGTAAAATATAATAAAAATAATTCTTAGAAACCAGAAATGAAGGGGGGGGTTCCTCTTTCAGCTTTGGAGGAGACCCCCTCCCTCTGTCTCTGTACAGGGGAGCTTCTTTCTTCTACCTTCTTCCTTCTTTCTTGCCTATTAAACTCTCTACTCCTTAAAGCCACACATTAAAAAAAGAAACAGGAAATAAAAAGACACATAAAATATTAGTCCAACTTTCTTATTCTTATCATCAACAGACATAAAATTACTCTGTCAAATTGCTATGAATGTTTCTAAGCATTTATTCTCTGTTCTTATACTTATCTGATCCTGGAACCATATCCAGATAAGACCAAAACCATACATAAACCACACTCTGAGTAGCTCTGTGGTAGGGGATAAGGCATATAGTTGGAGCTCAAATAATGTTTCCTAAGCAAGTTGGAAAATAAAAGACTTTGGCTCTGCCCATGGGAAGTTAATCTTCAAGAGACATGAATGTAAATAAATAGATGCCACTAAGTCCATTTTTCTGGACAGATTCTTACATAGGTTGTCAACTTTTAATTGTCTGAAAAATATTTAAGAAGCAAGTTGCTAGGTGGTTGCTAAGGGCAATCACAAAGACAGCAGTACTGCAATTCATTTTCAACCCAAGAGATTATATGTCTGAGAGAATTTAATAAGGAAAGTAGAGTGAGTTTGCATATAGAGCAATCTAGTTGGAAAAATATTTTATTGCAAGGAGAGAAAGTACTAGACACCCTCATGGTAAAATGCACAATGCACAGTGACGTGCAGAGAAGTGGTCAGTCTGGTTCTGGAGTTAGCAAAGGTTCTGGTCAATGAGAAAGGGATTCAAAAGCAAATCCAAGAGTTAAGAAAAATGTTGAAATGGGAAAAGTCCCTTTATTGCTCTTGCAGAGCATGCAATGGGTGTGTGGGGCTTGCTCCGTCGATGCCCCGCTGCCCAAACCTCTAGGGGGAGCACGCAGACAGGCAAGTTGTGGGGATCCGACCCCATGGCAGTGTCTAGGGTTGAGTTTTTACAGCGTCTCAGTGGGCGTGTGTTATAGTGTGCTCTTTCAGTTTAGCTGTCTGTAGGCAGCTTGTGTTATTCAGCTCCATTAGACCCTCTGCCTCATGGCAAAGACAGAGGGCTTTCTGTTTCCTGGATTCTTGCCTTGGTGTACTGGAAAAATTGGATCACACGTGGGCTTGGAGGATGGCTGCAAGGGTTTTTATTGAGTGGTGGTAGCTCTCAGAAGACGGGGGAGCCAGAAGGGAATGGATTGGGAAAGTGGTTTTCCTCCGGAGTAGGGCTGCCCAGTGGCTGGGCTCCCCTCCAACCACCCTGGCCAAACTCCGCATCGTTCAGCTGGTCAGCCTGCCAGCGTCTACCGGCTTCTGCTGATGTCTGTTTGGGTGTTCTTCCACCAGAGTGTTCCTCTCGACGTCCAGCTGCCTGCATGTCTGTCTGCTAGGGTCTCGGGGTTTTTATACGCACAGGATGGGGGCTTGACAGGCCAGGATGGTCTGGGAAATGCAACATTTGGGCAAGAAAACAAAAATGCTTGTCCTCACCTACGTCCGTGGGCACAGTCCTGGGGGTAGAGCCCTCACCAGGGACCTGCCTTTTCTACCCAGCACTTCCCTGTCCCCCTCCCCGTATCAATGTGACACATCCATAAAAGTGTTGAGTAGTGCTGCAGGGCTAGGAGAAGAGATGATAAAAGACGGGAATCAGCAAAACAGGGAACGTGAAGATCATGAGGCATGCGGATCGCATCTTTTATTTAGGCAAATGGCCTACAAGGTGTGTGGGCAGGGTGGAGATGGGGAGCTCAAGGTGGGGACACAGCTTGTGACCTTTCCAAATTGTGAAACTATCAC
The DNA here is from genome assembly GCF_000001405.40 of Homo sapiens. NCBI lineage: Eukaryota > Metazoa > Chordata > Mammalia > Primates > Hominidae > Homo > Homo sapiens. The sequence goes on from NC_000010.11 coordinate 19,714,879, forward strand.
CCCTACCCTGAGATTCCAGTGCACAACAGGCCCATAAATAGAACTTGGGAAATCCAACTACATGGGTTTAAAATAATTTAAAATGTTAGTTAATCTCATCACCCAGAGTTACATACTGTTAACATTTTGATGTATCTTCTTTTGAACTTTTATCACTGTATAAATATGTACGTGCACTCTTTTCCTCTTAAAATTGAAATTGCTACGAAATTTATTGCTCCTTATTTCCCTATACTGACCATTCTTAAAATTGAAATTGCTACGAAATTTATTGCTCCTTATTTCCCTATACTGACCATTCTCAAACATTTTGGTCTCAACATACCATCACACCTTTAAAACTTATTGAAGACCCCAAAGACTTTTCTTAAGGTGGGTTATACCTATCAAGACTTACCATATAAGAAACTAAACTAAGAAATATTTACAATTATATTTATTAATATATTTTAAAATGACAAGATATCCATTATAACTTATTATGAAAACATATTTGTATATTTAAAGTATATATATAATATTTATCTATATATAAAATGTAACATTCTGTTTAAAAATGACCTTTACCAACTGTGGGGCTTTGAGGTATCACATTTGTTGAAGAAAGTGAGTGAAAAAATATTTCCAGAATAGGTGACTAGCAAAAATTTATTGGAGAAAAGTATATGTTAGCCAAGTAAATAAGTATTTACTCATATTTGAACCCCCAGTGCTTAGTAGAACAAAGCTACTTGTATTACTCCATTTGGACTGCTATAAAGAAATACCTGAGGGTGGGTAATTTATAAAGAAAAGAGATTTGTTTGGCTGGCGGTTCTGCAGGCTGTACAAACAGCATGATGTCGGCATCTGCTTATGGTGAGGCCTCAGGCAACTTACAATCATGGCGGAAGGCAAAGGGGAAACTGGTGCATCACATGACAAGAGTGATTGAGAGAGAGAGGGAGGAGGTGCCATGCTCTTGTAAACAACTAGACCTCTCATGGATTCCTAGAGTGAGAACTCACTCATTACTGCAAGGGCAGCACTAAGCCCTTCATGGGGGATCTGCCCCCATGGCCCAAACACCTCCCAGTAGGCCCACTTTCCAACATTGGAGGTCACATTTCAACAGTAGGCCCACTTTCCAACATTGGAGGTCACATTTCAACATGAGACTTGAAGGGGACAAAACATCCAAATCATATCGCTACTCAAACTAAAACAAACCTTTAGTGAGGGCTAGTGTGGGATTCTTATGTCTACTTCTTCATTAAAGCCATTATCTTGATTTGTTGAAATATATTAAACACATTCAACCTCACACAGATACGTATTTTTTAAAAGGAGGTGGTATGGTTTGGATCTGTGTCCCCACCAAACTTCAGCTCAAATTGTAATCCCCATTGTTGGAGGTGGAGCCTGCTGGGAGGTGATTGAATCATGGGGGTGGAGTTTTCATTAATGGATTAGCACCATCCCCCCCAGTGCTGTTCTACTGATAGTGAGTGAGTTATTGTGAGATCTGGTTGTTTAAAACTGTGTGGCACCTGCCCCAACTCTCTCTTGCTCCTGCCCCAGCCATGGAAGACATGCCTGCTTCCACCTGACTGTATATTTCCTCAGGCATCCCCAGAAACAGAAGCCACTATGCTTCCTGTATAGCCTGCGGAACTGTGAGCCAATCAAACCTCTTTTCTTTATAAATTACCCAGTCTCAGGTATTTCATCATAGCAATGCAAGAATGGAAAAATACAGAAGGTGTATTTTACTAGCTTTTGAGATAATTATTGATACTTTTCTTTTACACCAAAGCTTTACGTGAGGTAGTTTCTTAAAATGCAGTTGTAATGCAGAATCTGAAACCACATCCATAGAATTTTTGAACTGTTACATTAAAAATTCACTGGTCTATTTTTCACTTTGAATGGATCACTTACCTATGTGTGATTTTGTACCATCATGCATGTTACATTTAGAAAATATTGGTTCAGTGATTTATGCAGTATGTCAGATGCTGACCCATTTCATTCTGCAATATAGCAAAAAAACAAAAAACAAAACAAAAAAGAAACCCCTCATCAATCAAGTATTTAAAGTATGGGGAACTTGTCCTACTCATGGTGGACAATACTGATTTTTCAAAATTCTCATTTTTCTTTGGATGTTTCAAGTTTCTCATCAGCAATAGATACTATCAGGTGTTTTATTTGATTTAAGAGCCTTGCTTCACTTGTTTTTATGAAAATGTCTGCCAAATGCCCTAGTGTAAAGAACCATAGTTTTTCTGTCAGTAATTCTTTCAAATACAAGTTCTGCTCCGAGATGAAAAAGTGGCTCATTTAGCATGCAACTCAATCTCAGTGCTTTTCCATAAGACAACACGTGCTTCAGTATTCCACAAAGATGCTTTATATGCATATTTCACAGAATATAAAAATGACTTGTACTAATGACTTGAAAGTTAATATGATTAATAATTTTTGAGGATTTATCAAAGTCATTTTGAGGTATAACTGACTTTACTGGCAGCAGATGGTGATGAAGAAGACAGTGTATAATTTGGCACCATGGCTTTAACTGGTGCTAAGAACTAGTGCTAAGATACCAGCAGTTTTCCCCTCCATAACATCTGGGCCATCAGTGTAAATGTCATCCCAGTAAAAAGTCTGTTATAATAAAAATTCATTAATTTAGCTTGAAATTTCAGTGAATATTTTACCCATGTGTTTTATTATTAATGCGAAAATTAGTTTTGAATTTGTAGATCCTTGGAAGGTGTCTTAGAACCTCCAGAAGTCCAGAGCCCACACTTTGAAAACCACAGCCTGTGTTAGGCCATTTTTGGGTTGCTATAAAGAAATACCTGAGGCTGGGGCTGGGTGCAGTGGCTCACACCTACAATCTCAGCACTTTGGTAGGCCAAGACTGGTGAAACACTTGAGGTCAGGAGTTTAAGACCAGCCTGGCCTACATGGCAAAACCCTGTTTCTACTAAAAATACAAAAATTAGTCAGGCATGGTGGTGCACACTTGTAATTTCAGCTACTTGGGAGGCTGAGACATGAGAATCATTTGGACCCAGGAGGTGGAGGCTGCAGTGAGCCAATATTGCGCCACTGCACTCCAGAGAGATTCTACCTAAATAAATAAATAAATAAATAAATAAATAAAGAGGAAGAAGAAGAGGAAGAAGAAGAGGAAGAAGAAGAAGGAGAGGAATAAGTAGAAGAAGAAGAAGAGGAAGAGGAAGAAGAAGAAGAAGAAGAGGAAGAAGAGGAAGAGGAAGAAGAGGAAGAGGAAAAGAGGAAGAGGAAGAAAGGAAAAAGAAGACGAAGAAGAAGAGGAAGAAGAAGAAGAAGAAGCAACAGCAGCAGCAGCAGCAGCAATACCTGAGGCTGAGGCTGGATAATTTATAAAGAAAAGGGGCTTAGTTGGCTCACAATTCTGCAAGCTGCGTAAGAAGCTTGGTGCCAGCATCTACTCAGCTCCTGTGGAGGAATCAGGGAGCTTTTACTAATGGCAGAAGGCAAAGCAGGAGCAAGCACATCACGTAGCAAGAGCAAGAGCAAAAGAGACCGGAAGGAGGTCCCACACACTTTTAAACAACCAAATCACATGAACTCAACGCAAGAACTCACTCATCACCTAGGCGATGTGGCGCTAAGCCTTTCCTGGGGATCTGCCCCCATGATCCAGTCAGGTCCCACCAGGCTCTACCTCCAATATTAGGGATCGCATTTCATCATGAGATTTGAAGGGGACAGACATCCAAACCATATCACAGCCCTGTACCACTAAACATTCTTTAAAGCATGACTTGAAAAGGTTGAATAATGCTGTGTCAAGTACATGCATCGTCATTTAACCATTCTCCTATTATTAGACATTGAGCTTGCATCTAATTTTTCTAATTTGTGATGAACCTTTTTCTATATATATTTTTGTCTTTCTCTCTAATTATTACCTAAAGACTGACTCCAGTAATTTTACTAGGCCGAGATGGGTTTTTAAAATGTGCTGTTAGGCCAGGCATGGTGGCTCATGCCTTTAATCCCAGTGCTTTGTGAGGCCAAGGCAGGAGGATTGCTTGAGTCTTGGAGCTCGAGGCAACACAGCAAGAGCTCATCTCGGCAGAACAATTTAAAAAAAAAATTAGCTGGTCATGGCGGTACGTGGCTGTAGGGCTAGATACCCAAGAGGCTGAGTAGGGAGGATTGCGTGAGTCCAGGAGGTCAAACTATGATCCCACGACTGCACTCCAACCTGGGCAGCAGAGCAAGACACTGTCCAAATTATATATATATATATACATACATATATATATATATACATACATATATATATATATATACACATACATACATATATATATATATATATATATATATATATATATATGCTATCAAATATATTTCTAAAGGGACTTTCCTGCTAGGCATCTGGTTTCTATTAGGTGGTTGTGAATTTGCTAACACTGCACTTGTGAAGTGGAGTGAAGACGGAGCTCCCATTGGCAGCCTGGGTTTTCTTTAAGATTAAGTTACAGAAACCTGGGTCAGTTTTATTCCTACTAATTGCCTCCATATTCCTGGGCATGTTCCCATTAAAATGCTCTGCCACAGCAAGAGTGCTTAAACAGTGACGGCTTTTGTGGTCAGCATATTTACTTCCTGCCTGAAAAGAGTGGAAGAAAAATAAAGCAGCTGCTGTATCATGTGAATGAGTTTGGCAAAATTTGGTGTTCCAATTGTTTGGTTTTATGACCCTGGGTGATGAATCTTTTCCTCTGCGTTTTGTGGCATTTCTGGTTGTGTTTGCAAATGCAGTTCTTTCTGAACTTTTTCACCCAAACATTTGGTTCAGTTTGTTCCTTAAGGACTTGAAAATGAAAATGTGAGTTCATGGACATTTCTCGTTAATGTATCCTTGCTTTTTCAAATTGGCTTCTTTTCTTTCTTCCTTTTCCTCCAGATTGTTTATTTAAAAAAAAAAAATCATCTTGACAGGAATAGAGACCATTAGATAGTTTACTATTTACATTCTCTTATAATTTCTCTCTCTCTCTCTTTTTATTAGCAGTTGTCAGATAACATGGTATTTTATGGGAGTGTACACTCAATGAGAATAGGTTGACTTCATAGACTCAACTTATTTCTTCTATTACCTTATGACTCTGTGCAATTTTTTTCTACCTGTAGACTTTTATAACAGATCTAATGTGTTACACTGCAATGATGTAAATTATAAGCTTGGTGTTGACTATAAATTATAAGCTTGGTGTTGACTTTTTTATGATAAACATGAACATATGAAAATGCCCCCAAAATCAAATTCTCTAAGGCGTTGTTGTGCTTCAAGATCTCCATAAAATCTCTCCTCCCTCCTTGCCAACACTTTCTGGGTACCTTTTACTGAAGCACATCTTGGCATCGTTTCAGCCTGGTGTTTGAAAAGTATTAGTTGAAACAACCTAGTGTAACCCTTTGCTGATTTTCTAAAATAATGTGGTTAGGGACTTGTTACTTTGTTACATTAGATTACAGTAACAGGATCCACAAAATAAATGCTTTATCTCCTGAGTTAGAGAAGTGCTTCTAAGCATCTGGTTTGTTTGTTTCTTTTTGAAATTATAGCCTGTGTAATTGATTGTCCTGCTTAAATTTGATTTCTAGAATCTTAAAGTCTAAGTTCCATCCTGCCTCTAATAAATATACATACTCCGATGATATCCATTTCACGAACTCTCCGTCTTGTTACCTTTGCCTCAATTCTATTTTCCTGTTCTCAGATTCCCCTTCTCCAACTTCCTACTTCGTATTTGTTTTATGTTCTTTTACTGTGCTATTTTTTTTATAAAATGCTATAAATCTGTCTTTATTACAAAAAGGACAAAATATTGCCTAAAATTAAAATTTATGATTACTTTCCTTGAAAAAACAGTCTGTTCAAACAGGCTAAAAAATGGACGGTAAATGATCAGAGACCAGGTATAAAATAACACTTTAAGGTTTTGAGAAAAGAAAGATGATACATGTGAATCATTTGAGACTGTGAGTTACATAGGAAACACAGGGCACCAATCTCTCATGATTACTGCAAGTTAAAAATGAACAAGTAAACATACCAGAAAACCTATTTCCTTAGGTTATAAAGCCAGGGAAGAAAAAAAAATAAAAGAACATTGCTCATTGATTTTTAGGATGAGATGAAGTTAAAAAAAAAGAAAACAGTACACTGGTTAAGAAACAAACATTTCTAAAAAGATCTCTTCTTGGCAGAGGGAAATATATTTAATGAACATTAAAAATTGGTATAATTAAAAATGGAAACCCCAGAATATCTTATTTTTATTGGAATGCTATATTATATTTTCCTTTTATCTGGAAGATTGGATCTTTGGGAAAGGCTTCAAATTCCGTAAATCTTAAGACTGGAAACATTTGGGAAAAACTAATTGAAGACTTTAAAATGAGAGAGGTAGAAGTAGGGAGAGGAGAATTAGGGTTTACTTCTGTGGGACAACTCAGATTCACCATTAATTATGCTAAACAAAATGTAATGCAATAGGCATGACTCAGAATAAGTGAATTCTATTCCCACCAGTGAAATGATTGTCTTTTATAATTTAGTTGCATCCTTTAAAAAAAAAAAGTCACATTCATTTTTATGGTTAGGAAACATCTCTCCCTAGTAGTAACAAATCACATACTTCACAACCTGAAAATTCACTTGAAGACCTTGATGTTTATTCATAGATGTTCCATACCCCTCATTGTTTAAAAAGAAATACATAGGAAGACCACAGGTCTTTATTTTCAAATATTGTAAAATAGCAAATTAGTACCAAGGTGATTTTTTTCCAGCCATATAGCTTTTTCAGCTTCTCCATAGTAGAAATAGATAGAAAGGCCATGCCTAATCTACTGCACTCTGCTCATCTTCAGGGAAGCCGCCAAGCGGCTCTGGGCTGCCACTTGAGCAGGTGACAAAGGAATGGAAAAAAACAGAGGGCAGAGTTTACTCCTGACCCACTTAATGTCTTGGGCTAAGCGGAACAGGAAGCTACATACAAACATGGCTCTATTAAACAATAGTAAAAAATGAATTGTCTTTCCTCTGTGGGGTTTGAGGAAATATGTTATTGAGGGTGGAAGTAAGCAGAGAGAAGTTAGTGGACTTCATTTCATCACTAAACCTTTAGACTATAGGTAAGTATCGTTATTCTTTCTACAAACATTCAGTTGATTCTTACTGTCTTCTAGGCATTCACAGGGTGCTGTGACAGAGAGATGAGGAAACCAGACATGTTCCTTATCCCTCAGAGAACTTATAGTCTAGTTGGGGAAGAATCTCAGTTGCTCCATCTGTAATAGAAGACAGAGACAAGATGATTGCAAGGGTTCCTGCTAGGCTCTAAATTAATCTATTTTTTTAAATCAAAAGTAATGCTAGGCATGGTGGCTCATACCTGTAATTCCAGTACGTTCAGAGGCTGAGGTGGGAGGATTGCTTGAGGCTAGAAGTTCAAGACCAGCCTGGGCAATATAGTGAGATGTCATCTCTGCAAAAAATTAAAAAATTAGCTGGGTGTGGTAGCACATTCCTGTAGTCCCAGCTAGTCAGAAGGCTGAGGCAGGAGGATCTCTTGAGCCCAGGAGTTGGAGGCTGCTGTGAGCTAGGATCACGCCACTGTATTACGGCCTAGGTGACAGAGCAAGACCATGTCTCTAAAAAAAAAAAAAAAAAAAAAAAAAAAAAGGTGGAAAAAATTTAAAATACTACAGTGATTATTAATTTTGACACCTCCTTATTGTTCTTTATACCAATGTCCTTTCATTTCACAAATTTGGGGGTCAGGAGAAAGAAGCAGGAAGTCTAAAAGAAGATGTAAATGACAAAAGGAGGAAAGCATAAGGAAAGGAGGTGAAGAGAATAGCACTCAACTATCGGTGGGCACCTACTTGTGATAAGCATTTTTATAAACATGTCATTTCATCTAAGAGACAGAAACCAACAGTTGCCACCCTCTGAAAAGCTCTAGAGGTAGGAGCCATATACTAATCAACTTAGTAAGTCTAGGACCCAGTGCAATGTTTAGTACGTAGTATGTGTCCTAGACATGTTGGGTGAATGTCAATAAGTAAGAAAAATGATAAGTAACGTTTAAAAATTCTCTTTCCACCATCTTAAGGGGTGAGTTACCACATTGGAGAGCATCAATTCCTTTCAGGCACTTAACTCATGATGACTGTTTCTCGGATTTTAGGATATTGTCTGACATCTTAGAAACAGTGTTTAGAAATCATTTCACTCATGGAAGCATGAGAACCAATGCCTCCACACACGAAATACAGGGAAAATATCTTTTGATAGATAAATTATTATGTTTATCCATTAACATCATTTGACAGCTGCATTGTAATTATCCTAATTTCAGACAGTATGATTCTTCATACTTTCGAGTGGACAGGTTTTGACACTGAAGTTTTATAACACAATCCACCAAAATACGACAGAAATAATCATCCATGACCCTCACAAATGGTATTCCCTTTCACTTAAAAAAATCTGTGCTAAAGTTTTGAGCTCAGGTCAGGCAAAGTGGCTCACACCCATAATCCCAGTGCTTTAGGAGACCAAGATGAGAGGATTGCTTGAGGTCAGGAGTTTTGAGTTCAAGACCAGACTGGACAATATAGCAAGACCCCATCTCTACAAAAAATTAAAAAAATTAGCCGGGTGTGTTGGCATGCACCTATAGTCCCAGCAACTCAGGAGACCAAGGCAGGAGGATCGCTTGGGCCCAGGAGTTCAAGGCTGCAGTGAGCTATGATCACACCACTGTAAACCAGCCTAGGCAACAGAGTGAGAATGTGTCTCTAAAAATAAAAAATAAAAAAATTTGAACTTTTGAGCTAAGTTTTCTTTGAGTATTTTCTAAGTCTACTTTTAAATATGAACATGTTGCAAGAGTATTACTCCCGTGAGATAGTAGTAGAAACTAGGTGTTTGGTGAATTTCACTAAGCAGCTTGAGCAGTTTTAAAATTAGCCAGGTGTGTTGGCATGCACCTATAGTCCCAGCAACTCAGGGGGCTGAGGCAGGAGGATCGCTTGGGCCCAGGAGTTCAAGGCTGCAGTGAGCTATGATCACACCACTGTATACAAGCCTGGACAACAGAGTGAGACTCTGTCTCTAAAAATAAAAAATAAAAAAATTTAAGCTTTTGAGCTCATTTTTCTTTGAATATTTTCTAAACCTAATTTTAAATATGAACTATTGTAACAGTGTTACTCCCATGAGATGGTAATGGAAACTAGGTGTCCGGTGAGTTTCACTAAGCAGCCTGAGCAGTTTTACAGACACACCAAGTGACTTACTGGTAAATTGGCGGGAGGGGGAAGCACACATCTGTAGTTAACATAAAGAAATTAAATCACCCATTTATCACCAAAAATGGCAATCAATTTAGTAAATAAAGTTAATAGAAAACACTCACTGAAACAAATTATAAAAGTGTATTTTAAAAATTAACAAACTTGCAATGTGTGTAAAAAGATGTTCATTTTGAAGGACAGGCCTCTCAGCAGGAACATTGTGCTGTCACTCTGTCCTAGACACTTCAGCATTCGGAGTGACAGCTAGTCTCACTGTCACCTTTGTTTCCTTTCAACCCAGATAAAGGTTTATTCACTTATCTAGTCCAAAGATGTTCACTTTAAGTGGCAATGAGACTACACCCTGAAACTGTCCAACATTGCCATCATAATTTTCCTATACACTAGCTTTAAATTGTTTACATTAAGGAAGTTTTATAGCCCCACTAAGCTAGGGATAAATGTAGTTATCAAAAATAAACTTTTGCCAGAGGAAATGGGAAAAAAGGAAGTAAAACGCATTCAAATTGGAAAAGAAGACATAAACTTCAGTATTCATAAATGGCATGATACTATATATAAGCAATCTCAAAGAATCCACAAGAAAGCTACTAGAGCAAATAAACAAATTCAGAGAAGTTACAAGGTATAAGAGCAACACTTAAAAATCAGTTGTATTACTACATACCAGCAATGAACAATCAGAAAAGGAATCTTGAAGGCAATTCTGTTGACAATAGCATCTAAAAGAATAAAATACCTGGGAATAAATTTAACCAATGAGGTGAAAGATTTATACACTTAAAATCACAAAGCATTATTGAAAGAAATTAAATAAGACCTAACTAAATGGAATGACACACTAAGTTCATGGAAAGGAGGACAATATTGTCGAGACGTTAATACTAACTAAAGCAACTCATATGGTTTGGCTCCATGTCCCCACCCAAATCTCATCTTGAATTCTAGTTTCCATAATCCCCACAAGCCGTGGGAGGGACCTAGTGGGAGGTAATCTAAGCATGGGGGTGGTTACCCTCATGCTGCTATTCTCAGGATAGTGAGTAAGTTCTCACAAGGTCTGATGGCTTTAGACGGGGCTTTTCCGGCTTTTGCTCTGCACTTCTGGCTGCCACTGTGTGAAGAAGGGCATATTTGCTTCCCCTTCTGCCATGATTGTAAGTTACCTGAGGCCTCCCCAGGCCTGTGGAACTGTGAGTCAATTAAACCTCTTTCCTTTATAAATTACCCAGGCTCAGGTATTTCTTCACAGCAGCATGAGAACAGACTAATACAGCAACCTGCAGATTCAAGGCAATCTCTATCGAAAATTCCAACAGCCATTTTTGCAAAAGTGAAAAACCTCTTCTCAAATTTATAAATTGCAAGGGTACCAAATAGCCAAAACAATGTTGGAGAACTCAAACTTCCAAATTTCAGAATTTACTACAAAAGTACAGTAAACAAAACAGTGTGGTATCGGCATGAGGCATGAGAACAGACATATAGATCAATTGAATTGAACTGAATTGAAAATTCAAATATAATCCTATACATCTGTCATGAATTGATGCTTGACAACAATGCCAAGTCCATCCAATGGGGATCAAATAGTCTCTTCAGTAGATGATATTGGGACAACTGGATTTTGCAATGCAAAAGAATGCAGATGGACCCCCTACTTCACACCACATACAGAAATTAGCTCAAAATGGATCAAGGAGCTACATGTAAGAGCAAAAGCCATAATGCATTTAAAAGAAAACATAGTGGTAAATCTTCATGATCTTGGATTTGGAAATTGATTCTTTCTTAAATATGACACCAAAAGCACAAGCAACAACAAAAAATAAATAAGTAAATTGGACTTTATCAAAATCAAAAACTTTTGTGCAACAAAAGACATTATCAAGAAAGTGAAAAGACAATCTACAAAATGGTAGAAAATATTCAAAAGTACGTATCTGATAAAAGTTTAATATCCAGAATATATAAAAATCCATACAACTTAAGAACAAAAAGACAACCCAATTTCAAAATGGGCAAAGGACTAGAATAGTCATTTCTTCAAAGAAGATTACATATAGTTGAACATAAAAAGATGTTCAACATCACTAGTCATTAGGGAAATGAAAATCAGTACCACAATTACATACCAATTCACATCCACTGAGATAGCAATAATAATAATAATTTAAAAACTGAAAATAACAAGTGTTGATGAGGATGAGGAGAAATAGAAACCCTCACACATTGTTGGTGGGAATGTAAGATGGTGCAGCACTATCAAAAACAGTTTGGCAGTTCCTCAAAAGTTAAAAAAGAGTTACCGTGTGTTCTATCAATTCAACTCCTAGTTATATACCTCGAAGAATCAAAATAGAGACTTAAACAGATATTCATGCAGCAATGTTCCCCATAGCAGTATTCACAATAGTGAAAAGATGGAAACTACCCAAATTTCCATCAACAGGTGAATGAATAAACAAAATGTGACATATACATGCAAGGGAATATTATTCAGCAATAAAAATGATTAAACTTCTGATACATACTACAATATGGATGAATCTTGAAAACATTATGCTAAGTGAAATAAGCCAAACACAAAAGGACAAATACTGTATGATTCCACTTAGGTGAGGTACCTCGAGTCTCATAAAGACAGAAGGTAAATCAGAATTTACCTGGGATTGGTTGGAGGGGAATGGGGTGTTAATGCTCACTGGCCATGGAGCTTCAGTTCAGAGTTATAAAAACATTTTGGAAATAGTGGTAATGGTAGCACAACACTGTGAGTGGAATTAATGGCATTGAATTGTATACTTGAAATGGTTAAAATGGCAAATTTTATGTGATATATACCACTGTTTTAAAAATTAAAAATTAATAAAAGTAACATTACTGAAAACCATTGAATTGTGTACTTTAAGTTTGTGAATTGTATGGCATGTGATTTATAGCTCCATAAAGCTGTTAAAAATAAAAATACAAAATATTCACCTCGAAGTCATGTTTACTGGATGTAACATAGATTGGTTTTTGTTTTATTCTTTTTTTCTCCTTTCCCATTTGTAATAGTTTCAGACTATTATAAACACTTCCATGCTTTTATCAACACTAAAACAATGTTGTCAGTTAATAAGTGAATTCCATTAGAAGTATAAATATGCTCGCTAAATTAAAATTGGAAACTGCCATCAGAATTATCTTAGTTCTGCATTGATCTAGGTCTCTTGTCACACATTCAGAATGCCACTTCGCACAGTATCTGCACGTAATGGATATAAGATAAACTTAATAATAATTTATATGAATGCATGATAAGGGAGAAAAACTTATATGATCCATGCAACTTCCTTTCCTCTACTCAAAATTTCTAAGTCAGTTCCTTTATCATCATTATTCCTAGAGGTGGTTATATTCTTTAGAACCTCAATTCTTACAACTCACTTATTCATTGGGGGAAAAAAAATCAACTGCTTAAGAGCTACCGGCATATTGACAAATACAGTAAGTCAAACATTGCATTTTTTTTTTTTTGGCCTGATGAAGACTCATCATTACACCATTGAGTTTCAGAACTGGCAGGAAACTTTATAATGAAACAAACATTTTATTTCCCTCATGTAAGGATCCACCATTTTAAGTAAAATTGCCTGTGTTTGAATGTCAAATTGACATAGTTGATGAAAATGGAAAATCATAATATTGAACTTGAAATACTAAATGTATAGAGTGACACTAGCAATTTCCTTCATGGAAGAATCTGTGGACGGTGTAATAGTTTACCTTATAAATAAATAGGAAAGACATTAAAATTTAAGTCTAATAGTCCAGGGATTTTCAAGAATGGGAGATATATCTTTAATCTAGGAAAAATAAAAGCAATTTGAGACTACTAAAAAACAAAAGTTGAAGTAGGAAGGATTTGCCATTCCTCACCTTCCAATACTCACACTGAAACCCTTTCTTCTTTTATTACAACTCCACATCCTTACTCTTAAATATCATCTTCCTTCTTTGTAGTTACCCAAATCTTGAAGGCCAGACACCTTCAAATGTTTTTTCATTTTAATAGAAAATTATTTCAGACTTAAAACCCTTTCAGAAGACAAGTAGCTTCAATAATTGAATTAACAGAGCTGAGAATTATATAAATTTACCTGGCTTCTGCCTGCTGACCGTGGTCTGGGTCATCTGGAGTCCCAGCAGTTTAAGACCAAAAATAATTGCTTCATATCAAGATCTTTTGTGTTGCTTCTGCCTCACACCCTTGCAACTGACGGCCAAGCTGGTCCCTTCAGCTCCTGGTTGTATGCTCAGGCTTTGACCATCTGTCCTGTCTAGCCCTGTGGTTTGGGTTTCCTCCTGCTTCCTGATTTCATGCCTGATTTCAGCCTCTTAATTTTTCTGAGCTCTTGGTGTCAGTGTCTGTCTTATCTTTACTTAGTTCCTAATTTCTATTATGTTTTGATCATCCCTACTTCCATGTCCAATTTTTCCTGCTTTGGTATTTTGATGCATTTCAAAACTACACTTCACTCCCTACCCAATCTCAACTCCAAGATCATCCCTGGCTCAGTTCATGCACTAACCATGCTATGTACTGAGATTACTACTCCGAGAATTTAACATAGACTAGTCTTGAATAAAGTAAAGGCAAAGAGTCAAACACAACTTACTCAAATTAATCAGAGCAACTAATAAGCATTCAATTAGTGCTTAAGGAATTAACAGATATTTGTTGACTCAATTCAGACTTTTTTCAATAATAACCCACAAAATAGATGCATATGGCCCTATTCATCAATAAGCAAAATGTACCCGCGGTGAGGGTGAAACATTTAATCTATTGTATATTTAAGCCAGTGGAGATCAGGAAGCTTAAAAGACACTGAATCCACAGGGACAATGTATTGCCAGCCAAACATAATTAGCTAGATTAGACTGTTAGGCTCACTGATGCTGCAGTTTCTTTGAAAAGGACCATGTGGTTTGGTAGATGACAATAGGCAGTTATGCCTATGGCAATTTGTTTTCAGAAATCAAATCAGTAAGAGCCCCCTTCTTGCTACATTTTATTTTGGGATTTAGAATTATATTACTGACAAACATTAATTTTCACTGTATCCTGAATAGGCAAAAAATATACATTATACATACATTATACATTGTGTTATACAATTATCATACATTATATATTTGTTACTCGTGTCATTAAGCTCTTAAAACAATCATCCTGGAATTGGTCTTCCATTCTCCATTGTGTGTGTGTGTGTGTGTACACATGCATGTATAGGATCCTTTCTTATGTGTGTGTGTGTGTACACATGTGTGTATAGGATCCTTTCGTGTGTGTGTGTGTGTGTGTGTATTTAGTTCTTGGTTACTTTTTTTTGTTCCTACGATGGACATTTTTTCTTCATCAGTTGTCACCAAGTAGTCCAGGGCTGCGTGTCTTCTAATAAGTCTATTAATTCTTTTTTTTTTTTTTTTTTTTTTTTTTTTTTTTTGAGACGGAGTCTCGCTCTGTGGCCCAGGCTGGAGTGCAGTGGCGCGATCTCGGCTCACTGCAAGCTCCGCCTCCCGGGTTCACGCCATTCTCCTGCCTCAGCCTCCCAAGTAGCTGGGACTACAGGCGCCCGCCACCACGCCCGGCTAATTTTTTTGTATTTTCAGTAGAGACGGGGTTTCACCGTGTTAGCCAGGATGGTCTCGATCTCCTGACCTCGTGATCCGCCCGCCTCGGCCTCCCGAAGTGCTGGGATTACAGGCGTGAGCCACCACGCCCGGCCTATAAGTCTATTAATTCTTAAGTAAAGTATAAAAGGAAAATAATCATATGGAGCCCAGTTAATTATAGTGAATTATGCACATGTAGTCCAATATGTGATATTACCAAGGGCTTGCTGTTTTTGAGTTTCATGAAACACTACCCTAAAGAACTTTTCAAAACAGTTGTATTTAAATTTGCTGATTAAAATGTTAAAGACTATGACTCATGTGCTACAGATCTTTATGACAGATACTGTCATGGAAAACAGTCTTCAGGATGTAGTGGTTTGGCACTGTGCAGTGTAAAGGACTTCAAGATGGCCTTTCTTTATCACTAGTACAGCTTCATATTACATTGTTCTTTCTAATGTTGGACACTTTGCACTGAGTAATATTTTAAGAAATCAACATTAAGACTAACTTTTGCAATTTCTTTTATTTGCCTGAGTTTATTTGGATCTAAACACTCAGAGTTCAAATTACATTTGCTTTCCTGAATGTGGTTGCCTTGGTGTCCTGCAAAAAATAAAAAATAAAAAACAAACTTTACTTATGGTAATACATTCATGAAAATAAGTGTGCTGGCTAGACAACATGTCTCTCAAAAGTTTCTAACAAACAATAACCTGAAAATGTACTATGGTAAATGTCAATAGTTTTTTATTTTTGATGGCCCTGTGTGCTTTAAGGAAAACCGAGGGAAGTGGTAACTGTGCCTTTGTCAATCCAGTTTACGGGAACTGGAGCAACCCAGAGAAAACAGAGGTAAGTGGCAAGGGTGAACTATATCTTTTCACACATATGCACACACATACAAACACACACACACACACAGGCTGAACCAGTGTTGCTTGATCATGTTTCTACATCATAACTAAAAGAAATGTTTTAGTGGAGTTATTTCAATTGGGGATAGAAAGGAGTTTCCATCTCTATAAATATGCTGTGAGAATTGTCCATTTCAGGACAGTTTCAGTCTGCTTGTAAGATCACTTCACTGTTAAATGGTGTTGTGGTCACTATTTATACTCAAAAAGAGCTGAAAAATCTGGGAAATATCAGTTTAACCCACAGAGTATTAGTCAGCTGCTTACAGTAACTATTCATTGAATGTCTTTCATATTTTATTTTCAAAAACAAAAGAGAGGATAGCATTCTATGTTCTGTTTAAATTTAGGGTGACTAGTGAGGGCCATTACCTGATAACTTAGAAGAGAAAAAACAAATGAGAATGTATTACATCTTCCTTGGCCCTTTTTGGGGCTACCCCTTATTTTTATAAGCAGGGAGAAAATGGCAAGGAAAACCTTTCTTGTTCCTTTTTTAGATTTTTTATATTTTAAGTCATTTTTAGGTATAGTTGACAAAACTTTTATATGTTTAAGGTATACATTATATTTTACTATAGGTATACATTGTGAAGTGATTACTACAATGAAACTATTTAAAATATCTATCACCTCACATAGTTTACTTTGTGTGTGTGTGTGTGTGTGTGTGTGTGCTGAAAACATTTAGGATCTCTCTTAGCAAATTTTGAGTATATCACACATTATTATAGTCACATGCTATACATTAGATCCCCAGAATTTATACATCCTGCACAAAAACTTTGCACTCTTTGATCAATATCTCATTCCTTTCTTTTTATTTTCCCATTCCTTTCTTAAGTAAGTGTTATGAGAATTCATCTGGATATAAAGTAAGTTTAGTTATGACACACCACTTCCGAACTGTAAAAGTTTTATTACATCTGAGTTTAGAGCTATATAAAATTCACTCCTTATAAAATGAGTATTATAGAAAGCTAAAGTTTTAATTATTCTCTTTCTTTATGAAAATAGGTCACAGTTTTTTATCTTGTTCCTGGTTATGAAAATGAGTAGCAAGGTATCAGGTCAGGTGGTTTCTGGTAGTTTAAGAGCCTTGAGTGCTGTGGCCGAAGCCTAACAAAGCACTTGACTTTTTAATTTTTGTGTTTTAATCAATAATGATATGATACACACTTTTAGTATTGTTTTGGTAGGAATGAAAACGGGAAGTAAATGATTTCCTAAAGCACAGAGAAAATGAATTTAGATGATTCGACAAGTAAATCAAGACAGAGTAAAAATGAAAAGGGAGACCTACTTCATGGATAAAAAAACACATACACATTTAAGAAAACAAATGTAATATATCTTTTTGACAAAATAGGATGGTGTAATATAAATATATTTTCATTTTTACTGGAGAAAGAAAATCTATTATTTATTTATTTTTTGAGACGGAGTTTCACTCTTGCCACCCAGGCTGGAGTGCAATGGTGTGATCTCGACTCACTGCAACCTCCACCTCCTGGGTTCAAGTGATTCTCCTGCCTCAGCCTCCTGAGTAGCTGGGATTAGAGGCGCCTGCCACCATGCCCAGCTAATTTTTGTATTTTTAGTAGAGACAGGGTTTCATCATGTTGGCCAGGCTGATCTCAAACTCCTGACCTTAGGTGATCCGCCTTCCTTGGCCTCCCAAAGTGCTGGCATTACAGGCGTGAGCCACTGTACCTGGCCAGAACATTTAATATTTTTTATCCTCAGCTTAGTTTAACTTTTAGTGTCTGAAAGGTACACATGAGATAAGGAATTAAAGTGAGATCTTTTCAATTTTATGTTTTTTGTATTAGTGCCTCATAAACTTGTAGTAACTAAAAAGTGGCTCGATAGGTATTATGGATTCTTTACTTTCTACTGAGATGGATTCTGTTGCATTCAGATTTGTACTTCTCAGCAAGTACAGGAAGGGGCCTCCATCAAAGACCCACCTTTCAACCTGCTTTCAAAATGGTTTCCACTGTGTGTGAGTGTGGTGGTGTAATGGATGACTTGAGAGCACCTCAGAAGTGATTTATGTTTATTTTCTATTTCGATAAAAGAAAAATTCCTTTTTCATTTTCTGTTTTCCTTTCATTATGAATGGCTAAAGAAGAAATCCTGGCACATCTCCTGACCTTTGTGGCTATTTTGATTTCTATTGTTTCAGAAACAAATGACTTTGTATTGATTAAACTAGGTCTACTTTCCCCATCATCAGAAAGATAGACTTCTCTAAGTCTATCTTTCAAACTATGTTTTAAATTATTGGAGAAAACTCTCACATTCTGATACAGAAATGGAGAGAATATTCATGGCAACATTCGTTGGCAATTCATGCCAATATTCATGGCAATATTCATTGTAAGCAACTGCCACGTGCCCATCAGCCAGCTTCAAGGACTGTCAACCCATGGTCATTGTTGTTTCACCTCTACTGCCCTCCATTTCCTCACCCTCCAGAAGGTTTTCAAACAAATTTCAAATATCATTTAATTTCAACTGTAAAGACTTCAGTTGTGTTTTTAAAGGACAAGGACTTTTAAAAATGTAACTGCAGGATCATCCCTAAACATTTAACAAGAATGTCTTGAGGCCATCAAACATTCAGTATTCATCCTACCCCAATTGTCTCATTAAAACCTAAAAGGTTTTCTTTTGGGGTTTTGTGTTGTTGCTATATTTTAAAAATCAGAAATTTTAGAAGGTATATGCATCCAAATGGGTAGATATGGCTCTTAAATCTCTTTTCATCTCTAGGTTCCATTCTGTCTTATTTTTTTTTCTTGCACATTATTTGTTGAAGAAACCAGATTGCTTGTCCTATAGAATTTCCCACGTTTTATATTATATATATATATAATATATATAATTATAGTTTACAGGAAACTTAAATGAAATGGCATTTAAACTTATATAAAATGCTTTTATTTACTTAAAGGCATTGGTTTTGTTTTGTTTTGTCTAACCTAACTATATTCAATACAGAAGGCTTAGTGAAACCAGCACCAGAGAAAGCAGTAGTCGAAATATTGGTCATTGCATTTCCCCACCCGACCAGAGGTGAGGCAGTGGTGCCTAAGTCCTGAGGACCCCAGGATACATGGAATCTAGGCTTGTGTCAGAAACTCAAGCAGTGTGGGCTGTAGGTGCTGGAAGAAGAGTCAGGGATGTTCTAGTTATTACTCCAGTGAAAATCCATTGGGACCTTTGCTGCATTCTGCGTGATCTTTAAAGAGTTTTCTTATCTTAATGCCTAAAATTCCACCCTTTCAAATGTGTTTTTCTTCGTCAGAGTTCTGTCTATTCCTTCTCAAACCCATTATATGGCACAACATCAGGAAGCCTGGAGACCCTGTCACATCATCTCAAATAGCAGCATCGAGACCAAGTCTGATCCAACATGTGTAGTTTCTAGAAAATTGAAGTCTCCACAATCTGATAGAAACTCATCTTCTACAATGGTAAAAAGAGAAAGGATTGTAAATGCCAGTGTAATTATAACATTTATGAATGAATTTTCTTGCAGAATATAGAGAATGTTTATATGGAATCAGAATCAGTACCTTATCTTCACTGAACATCTGAATATTTTAATAAAATTTCTATTTAATCAAGTTTCTTGTTTTTCTTTGATTTTATCTTTTTTTAAATGATGAATGAATTTGTTTCAGATTCTGAATATAAAGAAGTTTTAAAATGCTCTTTCTTTGCCGTATAGCTTAGAAACACAGGTGAACTGACTTGGTGTACACACGGGCAGAAATGAACAAATCAAAGAAATCCAAGGCAACATAATCATAAGTTGTTTCAGCACTTTGTAAAAAAATGTGATAAATTATCCTCCTATTCTTGCCTTTTTCAAATAATTACTTAATGCTTTTCTATAGACGTAAAAATAATGCTAAACCTATGAGTTAAGAAGCTTGTAGCTACAAGAAACTGAAAACTCCCCAAGCGAATGTCTTGAATCATGTGGCAATAATTACCCCCCAAACCAGGAAATTAGGAGATGGAGCCCCTCTTAACGATGGTCGTTGCAACACTTCCATGACCCCAGTAAGGACCTCATTGGTTGATGAGTTTCACTTCCCAGCCTGTGCTCTCAGGTTAGCTTTCCTACAGGTTAGATGAGGGCTCCATGAGCTGCAGCATCGTTGTGTTCGCAGTAAAGTTCAGAGGCAGAGAAAGGCCCATTTCTTTCTGCTTTTCATGTTTTACCAGCAAAAAAATCCCTTCCCCCACGCACTTCCCTCCACAGCATTCTTCTTATTGGCCAGCATAAACGTGGAGCTCAGGCTAAGCCAATCTCTTCAAAGGCAATGAGGCCACCATGATTGGCTGGAACTCTTCACTTATACCCCCTGCCGCTGAGAGTAGCTGTGAAGCACCTTGTGAAGCAGATGACGGTAGGTTCTTAAACGAAGTTGAAGTTAGGAAAGTTGAAGGGGATTATATCTATTAGGCAGCAATCAGCATCTAAAGGAGAGAAATGTTCCTCTCTCTAGTAATGTGTCCTGCAATCATTTCAGTGGATTTAGATAGAATGGATTAACAATCTGCCCAGGCTTTGCCCTGAAGGTGTTGAAGAGGAGAAAAGGCGTTGAAGACGGAGTCACTACCACGTGATAATCTGGGATATTTCTAAGCCGAATAGAAAGTCAGTTGTATACCATGTAAGTTTCATTATTCTATTAGTGTCTTTTGTAAAAGTATAGTCTGGCAGGGAAATATTATTTCTCATCAATGTTGCAGTAAATTGATCTCAAATTTTATCTAAATTAATTTTTTGAATGCATTATTCTTTTGCTCTGTATTATCTTTTTCTAATTGCTGCTTTCATATTGACACCAACGTTTTTGATTTGAGAAATATTAACACAAGGAAAGATCAGTAGTAGTAGCAGGTGTTGTTCCTGTCCTTGACTCAGTCTGAATCTTGGCATTGTGGGACATATGCACTTTTGAAAGCTGCATTTGTTTTAGCTTAAAACTACTAATGTTATCCACATAGATTCAGAATCTTTGCTTAAGCATACAGTATTCTTTTAAAAAGAATAGAATTAAAATTCAGCTGTGGTCTCAGTAAAGAACTTGAGGCTACTACATGAAAAATGTAGGAAAATGCAATTCCTTACACAAAAGATAATAAAGATTATTGTACAACATCAACTGGCCTGCTTCACAGGGATATTGAGAGAATTCATGACATACAAGGAGCCCCAAATACAGGTTAGTGACAGAAAATCAACAAAGAACAGAAATGAGAGTACTCTTTTTTTTTTTTTTTTAATTAAATCTACTTTAAGTTCTGGGCTACATGTGCAGAACGTGCAGGTTTGTTACATAGGTATACATGTGCCATGGTGATTGGCTGCACCCGTCAACCACTCATCTACCTTAAGTATTTGCTCTAATGCTCTCCTTCCCCTAGCCGCTCGCCCCCCAACAGGCCCCGGTGTGTGATGTTCTCTCCCTGTGCTCGTGTGTTCTTACTGTTCAGCATCCACTTATCAGTGAGAACATGTGGTGTTTGGTTTTCTGTTCCTGTATTAGTTTGCTGAGAATGATGGTTTCCAGCTTCATCCATGTCCCTGCAAAGGGCATGAACTCATTCTTTTTTATGGCTGCATAGTATACCATGGTGTATATGTGCCTCATTTTCTTTATCCAGTCTGTCAATTAAGGGCATTTGGGTTGGTTCCAAGTCTTTGTTATTGTGAATAGTGCTGCAATAAACATATGTGTGCATGTGTCTTTATAGTAGAATGGTTTACTGCCCAAAGTAATTTATAGATTAAATGCTATCCCCATCTGGCTACCATTGACTTTCTTCACAGAATAAGAAAAAAACTACTTTAAATTTCATATGGAACCAAAAAAGAGTCTGTATAGCCAAGACAATCCTAAGCAAAAAGAATAAAGCTAGAGGCATCATGCTACCTGACTTCAAACTATGCTACAAGGCTATAGTAACCAAAACAGCATGGTACTTATACCAAAACAGACATATAGACCAATGGAACAGAACAGAGGCCTCAGAAATAACACCACACATCTACAACCATCTGATCTTTGAGAAACCTGACAAAAACAAGCAATAGGGGAAGGATTCCCTATTTAATAAATGCTGTTGGGAAAATGGGCTAGCAATATGCAGAAAACTGAAACGGGACCCTTTCCTTACACCTTATACAAAAATTAACTCAAGATGGATTAAAAACTTACATGTTAGACCTAAAACCATAAAAACCCTAGAAGAAAACCTAGGCAATACCATTCAGGACATAGGCATGGGCAAAGACTTCATGACTAAAATACCAAAAGCAATGGCAACAAAAGCCATAATTGACAAATGGGATCTAATTAAACTAAAGACCTTCTGCACAGCAAAAGAAACTATCATCAGAGTGAACAGACAGCCTACAGAATGGGAGAAAATTTTTGCAATCTATCCATCTGACAAAGGACTAATATCCAGAATCTACAAGGAACTTAAACAAATTTACAAGAAAAAAAAAACCATCAAAAAGTGGGCAAAGGATACGAACAGACACTTCTCAAAAGAAGACATTTATGCAGCCAACAAACATATGAAAAAAAGCTCATCATCACTGGTCATCAGAGAAATGCAAATTAAAACCACAATGAGATACCATCTCACGCCAGTTGGAATGGTGATCATTAAAAATTCAGGAAACAGCAGATCCTGGAGAGGATGTGGAGAAATAGGAATGCTTTTACCCTGTTGTTGGGAGTGCAAATTAGTTCAACCATTGCGGAAGACAGTGTGGCAATTCCTCAAAGATCTAGAACCAGGAATACCATTTGACCCAGCAATCCCATTACTGGGTATACACCCAAAGGAGAGTACTCTTAAGGGTATTTAAATTTTTCTTCAGGTGCAAGTTATATGCACCCTAAACTGCTTAAAGCAAGTAGTTAATAAGGTGTTATAAATACAGATTGCAATTCTGTGAACCAAAAAAATAAAACTGATTTTTCTTATTCAATATGTAAAATAGTTTCAGTGCCCTTGTTCAGTTTTCTTTATTTGATATGAGATTCAGAAATGAAGAATGTAGTTTTCTTTGCATCATTTTTCTTTGGAGAACATTTTGGCATAAGTCCAAATTTGCACCATTGTGTTTGCAAAAATAGGCAAAGGTGTAAGGAGGGAAAACCAGCAGTGTACAGTGCCCAGAATTATACAACCTATTTTTCAAAACATACTTTAAGCATACAATTATATAACAACAGCAACAAGAAACACAAGTAAGTATGGATTATCTGCCAAATACTGTTCTAAGTATTTTATGTATTTTAACTCATGTAAATGTAAATAACATACCATATACTACTGTAGTAACTAGCCATATGTGGCTATTTAATTTGAAATTTAAATTACTTAAAATTACATATATATTTTTAAACTTTTATGTTTGGGGGTACATGTGCAGGGTTGTTATGTAGGTAAACTTGTGTCATGGGAGTTTGTTGTACAGATTATTTTGTCACACAGGTATTAAGCCTAGGACCCATTTTTCTTGATCCTCTCCCTCCCTCTATCCTCTACCCTTCAATAGGCGCCAGTGTCTGTTGTTCCCCACTATGTGTTCTCATCATTTAGCTCCCACTTGCAAGTGATAATATGCATACCCTTAAGCATATTGTTTTCTGTTCCCATGTTAGTTTGCTAAGGTTAATGGCTTCTAGCTCCACCCATGTTCCTGTAAAGGACATGATCTCATTCTTTTTTAGGGCTGCATACTATTCTATGGTGTATATGTACCACATTTTCTTTATCCAGTCTACCATTGACAAGCCTTTAGGTTGATTCTATGTCTTTGCTATTGTGAAAAGTGCTGCAATGAACATATGTGTGCATGTGTTTTCATAATAGAACAATTTATATTCCTTTGGGTATATCTCTCATAATGGGATTTCTGGGGCAAGTGGTTGTTCTGTTTTTAGTTCTTTGAGGAATCACCACACTGCTTTCCACAATGGTTGAACTGATTTACACTTCTATGAAGAGTGCATAAGCATTCCTTTTTCTCTGCAACCTCGTCAACATCTTGCCAGTTATTTTCTGACTTTTCGATAATGGCCATTCTGACTGTTGTGAGATAGTATCTTACTGTGGTTTTGATTTGCATCTCTCTAATGATCAGTAATGTTGAGCTTTTTTTTTAATATGCTTGTTGGCTGCATGTATGTCTTCTTTTGAGAAGAGTCTGTTCATGTCCTTCACCTACATTTTAATGGGGTTTGTTTTTCTCTTATAAATTTGTTTAAGTTTCTTATAGATTCTGGATAATAGACCTTTGTCAGATGCATAGTTTATAAAAATTTTCTCCATTTGCAGGTTGTCTTTTTACTCTGTTGATAGTTTCTTTTGCTGTGCAGAAGCTCTTTAGTTTAATTAGATTCCATCTGTCAATAAAATTAAATGAAATCTAAAATGTAGTTCCTCAGACGCACTAGCTACATTCCAAGTGCTCAGTAGCTAAATGTGCCAGTAGCTACTATATTGGGCAACTAGAGAACGTTGCCATCATCCCAATAAGTTATTTTGGTGAGCATTAGCTTAGAACAATGTTGAAATAATGTACTATAAATAGTACAGTAGGCCAGGTGCAGTGGCTCACGCTTGTAATCCCAACACTTTGGGAGGCTGAGACAGGCAGATCACAAGGTCAGGAGATCGAGACCATCCTTGCTAACACGGTGAAACCCCATCTCTACCACAAATACAAAAAAATTCGCCGGGTGTGGTGGCGGGCACCTGTAGTCCCAGCTACTCAGGAGGCTGAGGCAGGAGAATGACGTGAACCCGGGAGGCGGAGCTTGCAGTGAGCTGAGATCGCGCCACTGCACTCCAGCCTGGGTAACAGAGTAAGACTCCATCTCAAAAAAAAAAAAAAAAAAAAAAAAAAAATAGTAGAGTAGTCTTTATCCACCTAATTGGTGCTCTGATTATTTCCCAGTATGTGTATTTTAACCAGAAACAGCCAGTTTTCACATGATAATAAATTAAAAATAATACAAAGGATATTGAGCTGAAAGCAAATGTATGTGAAGTTCATTTTAATGTTTTCTCACAATATAAATGTGTTATGTCATTCTATTATATCCATATCATCTTTGAATATTCCTTTTTATATTTAGATGGAACATTGAAAAAACTATGTAAGAGTTTGCTTTTCCCTTTTTAGCTTCCTGTTCTTCAATCATTTTTCATATTTATCACACAAAGAACTGAAGATTCACGTTCTCCTTGAAATACTAACTGCATTGTGTTTGGCTTTAAGGGTATACCTTTAGATAAACGAATTACTATATCCAGGGGAATGTTTTTTGCTATAAGTAGTCTTAAATTTCATTCCTATAAATAAAAACCAGGGAAAATTCATCATGAAACATAAAAAGACTGGACTTTTTTTTTCCCTAATGGCCTTTAAAAAAAAAAATCAAACATAAGTGTATGTTTCAATGTCAAACCAATGACAGCTTTGCAATTCCTAATGTGATTTTGCTTTTCTTTGTGTCAACTTGCAAAATGCTTTGCATTTCATTGTTAATATGTCTATAAAACCAATGCAAGGGTTAGTACCTAAAGCAAGTAATCATCAAACTCAAGAACCTACTCTTTAAATAATTAATTACGAGTGGAAAGGCACCACTTTCTACACGCATCCACTTGTGAAATTTTAATGAAACTAGGTACAAGCTATATCTTGAATTAAAGGACTCTATATCTGTGAATCAATTTGAGTATGCGTGAACAAAAAATAAATGATTATAATATTTAAGGACCTACTTAAAAGTTCACAGTGATACATGTCATTAAACATTCTGAGAAAGTAAAGTGCTCTAAAAAGCACGTTTTCTTCTCTAGAATGGAGAAGCAATAATAAAGAGTTTTTGTTTTTCTAATTATTTAAATTTTTGCTTATTTATTTAGGCGTGGTCTGGCTCTTTTAGAGGTAGCTTCCTTGAAACTTCATAATATCTATCCAGAGTTTTGTTACTGAGAAATCTGCTCATTAAATTAGCATAATTATCTGCAGTCAGTGTAATATAATTTAGGGCTAATAAAAGAAATGCCATCCTAATAGATCAGCAATGACAAATCTAGTTTTTTTATCCAGTTTCTTACTAAAACTATTACATAAATATTTAATCTATTAATAACCATAAACTAATGGTTAAAGAAAAGATTTAGTCACTGTGACAAAACTTGACTTGCTATTAATTTGTTCGACAAATCTTTTTTTTTTTTTTTTTTTTTTTTGAGACAGAGTCTCGCTCTTTCGCCCAGGCTGGAGTGCAGTGGCGCGATCTCTGCTCACTGCAAGCTCCGCCTCCCGGGTTCACGCCATTCTCCTGCCTCAGCCTCCCAAGTAGCTGGGATTACAGGTGCCCGCCACCACGCCCGGCTAATTTTTTGTATTTTCAGTAGAGACGGGGTTTCACCGTGTTAGCCAGGATGGTCTCGATCTCCTGACCTCGTGATCCGCCTGCCTCGGCCTCCCAAAGTGCTGGGATTACAGGCGTGAGCCACCGCGCCCGGCCTCGACAAATCTTTTTAAAGAATTTTTATAGTGAAAGAAGTAAGAGAAGGCAATAAGGAAGTGAGATGACAGCTGAGTAACAAACAATGTGTATAATGTGGCCATTGCCCATCTATCCTCCTAGGACATCTACCTTCTAGATGCCAGCCTCATAATTATTCTCTCATCAGTACTGGAGTTTTTTCAAGCATACAAGGTAAGAAATTAATGAAATAGAAACACATATAAAATAAAGTCGGTAAACAAAACTAAATATTGCTTTTATGAAAACAGTGATAAATCCTTGATGAGACAAAAATTGATAAACCTCTGGCAAAAACAAATTACAAAATGAATAATAAACACTTAAAAATCAGAGAAAAAAGACAATGCACAAATAGCCAATGTCAGAAATAAAAATGATATAATCACCCCAGATCTTACAAACATTAAGAGGATAAGTAAAATGTTTATTGAAAAGCTTTATGACAAAAATAATCAAAATTCAGTGGAAATAAATTTCTGAAAAATGCAAGTTTTCTAAAACAAACATAAGAAATATAAGAGCTAAGTAGTCCTATAACAAAGTAGTTGATTCATGTTAAATAATCTTCCTTCAACAAATTCTAAGTTCGTAAGTTTCACTGCAGCAGCATAATTAAGGAATCAGAGAGACCGAGGGGTTGAGGAGGAATTATTTAATTATTTAGGTGCACCCACCCAGTCGGATTAACATCCAAAGGACTGAGCCCCGAACAAAGAGTCCGGTTACCTTTTAAGCATTTTGTGGGGCAGGGGGAGATCTGTGCAGGGGGAAGCATATTACAGAAGCGAGAAACAAAGACAGTTATTCAATTAAGACATGCATTACATCATTTCTTACTTTTCAAGGAACAACATGTTTTACGACTTGAGTTTATCTGCCTAGTGACCTTGCAGCTGCACTGCTAGAGAAACAGGGTCTTCACAATGCCTGGGAAAGGGAGAGATAAGGCTCACTAGCCACAGAAAAACAGGCAGTTAATTTTAAAGGACTCCAGCTCTTTCTCTTCTTCAGGAGGAATTGGATTTTCTTACATACAACTGAGTATTTGCTTACACATTCTTTAATTTCTTTTAATTCCTGTTCTGTCACTAGCAACTTTTAAGAATTAATCACATTTGGCCAGGCACAGTGGCTCACACCTGTAATCCCAGCACTTTGGGAGGCCGAGATGGGTGGATCATGAGGTCAGGAGATGGAGACCATCCTGGCTAACATGGTGAAACCCCGCCTCTACTAAAAATACAAAAAAATTAGCCAGGCATGGTGGTGGGAGCCTGTAGTCCCAGCTACTTGGGAGGCTGAGGCAGGAGAATGGCGTGAACCTGGGAGGCGGAGCTTGGAGTGAGCTGAGATCACGCCACTGCCCTCCAGCCTGGGTGACAGAGTGAGACTCCACCTCAAAAAAAAAAAAAAAAATTAATCACATTTAATTAATTTAATTTCATTTCATTTAAGAATTGACCAACTTCTACAAGTACTTTCAAAGAACAGGAAAAGATGTAATACTTCCCAATACATGTCATGAGCACAGCATAGTTTTGATACAAACCCTGACAAAGACATTGTAAGAAAGAAAAATTTTAGACCAATGTTACATATAAACACAAATGTGAAGCGTTGTATGCATATAATATATATTATGTCATATATGATGTGAAGTAATAAATATATATAATATAAATGTGTGATATAATATAAATACATGATATATGTGAATAACCAAATATGTATGTGTGTATATATATATTATAAATTATATATTATATATATATATATATCTGTTTTTATAGTTACTCTATGAATGCAAGTTTGGTTTAACTTAAAACCTCAGTGTAACTCAACACATTAGCGGAATGAGAAACAAGTACATGATAATTATAATAGGTGCATAGAAAACATTTGGTAAAATACATCTGTTCATAATAAAAATTTTTAGAAAACTAGGAAATGAAGGAAAGTTAACATTATTAATATAATAAAAGGCATCTGCAAAAAAACCTCACAGCATATTTAATGGTAAAATGTTGAAAACTTTCACTTTGATATGAGGAATAAGCCAAGTATACCCACTATTGCCACTTCTTTCAAGATATTTTAACTGCTTACTGGGTATCTTAGTGAGAAAATAAGACATGAAAAAGAAATATAAGTTATAAGGACTGAAAAGGAAAAAACTGCTGTAATTATTTACAGCTAGTATGATTGGTTACACAGAAAGTTTAGAACAATTTCAAGGTTAATAAATTAATTATTGACTTTATTAGGTTTGTTAGTTATACAATTAATATATAATGTTTAATTTCTATAGATCTTGAAACAAATATAAAATAATTAAGTAAAATCATAAGTTAAAAATAAATACATTAGAATAAATTTTACAAAAGACACATATAACTTAAAAATTTTAATGAGCGATATTAAAGAAGACATATAGAGACACATACTATGTATTTTTTTCAAATTGATCTTTAAAGATTCAGTTAAATTCTTACCAAATTTCTGCCAGATATTAAAGACCTGAGGAACTGATTCTAAAATGTATAAGGAAATGCAGTGACCTAAAATTAGCCAAGAAAGTCTTGAAGAATGTGGTGTGAGGAATTCTTTATTGAAGATCATATATAAAGTTAGCATAATTTTCGCATTGTGATATTGTCTATAAAGATAGACAAACCAAAGGGAAAGAATACATATCCCAGAAATAGACACCCACACAGAGGGATATCTGATTTCCAACAGATGGGGCACTGCAAAATAGTGCAGAAAGGGCATTTTCAATGATGGGCTAAAGCTTTGTTTCCATGCAGAAAAATTAGTGAAACCTGACATCCCCCACCTACTTTATGTGAATATCAGTTCCAGGTGGGTTTTATTGAACAAATGTTCCCCAATTTATGATGGTTTCATTTAGGATTTTTTGACTTTACAATGCTATGAAAGGAATATTCAGTAGAAACTGTACTTTGAGTACCCACACAACCATTGTTTTTCACTTTCTGTATGGTGTTCAATAAATTACATGAAATATTCAACAATTTATTATAAAACAAGCTTTTTGTTACGTGCTTTTGTCCAACTGTAGGCTAATGTAAGTGTTCTGAGCATGTCTTGAGTAGACTAGGCCAAGCTATGAAGTTTGTTAAGTTGAATGTGTTGAATGCATTTTTGGCTTATGATATTTTCAATTTGCAATGCGTTTATCAGGATGTAACCCCATCATAAGTGGAGGAGCATCTGTCCGTCTAAATGTGAAAGACATAACACTAAACCTCCTAGAATGACCTAGAATATGATCTATACAAAAATATGATTGTTATCTCCATAAGAGGAAGACTTCTTAAATGAGCACAAAATTAACCATAAAAGATTAATAAATTGGATGATACTAAATTTAGACACTTCTGTTCAACAAGATGCCATTAAGAGATGAAAAAGAGTGAACTACATACAACTAATAAGATACATATACAAAGAATATATTTTTATTACTCTATCACCCAGGCTTGAGGACAATGGTGCAATCATGGCTTACTGCAGCCTCAATCTCCTGGGATTAAACAATCCTCCTGCCTCAGCCTCCAGAGTAGCTGGGACTACTGGTGTGTGCTTTTTATTTTTTTATTTTTATTTTTGGAGAGACAGTACTTCAGGATGTAGTTCAGGCTGGTCTCAAACTCCTGATCTCAAGTGATTCTCCTGCCTTGGCCTCTCAAAGTGCTAGGATTACAGGCATGACCCACCATGCCTGGCCAGAACATATTTTTTTTTAACTCTAAATCCATAAGAAAAAAGCAACAGAAAAATTAGCAAGACACTTGAACATGAAATTCACAAAACAAAATGAGCAAGTAATCATATGAATACATCCTAACCTTGTAAATTATCTGGCAAATCCAAATTAAATGTACAACTAGGTAGCACTAGATAATTGGTTCATACATACTACCACTTGCCAAGCAGAATGGCTAAAATTTGAGAAGACTGACAATACTAAATGTTAGTGTTATAGACTGACTGTGTCTCCCCAGATTCATATGTTCAGTCCTAACCCCCAATGTGATAGCATTTGGAAATGGGGCGTTTGTGAGGTAACTAATGTTAGCTGAGGTCATGAGAGTGGGACCACCATGATGGGATTAGTGGCCTTATGAAAGACACCCAGAGAAACCTCTCTCTGTGTCCCTCTCTGTCTCTTTCTCTCTTTCTCTTTCTCCCTGCCTCTGCCTGTCTCTCTCTTTCTCTGTCTCTCTCTATTTCTCTGTCTCGCTCTCCATTATGCCTTGCATGCGAAAAAAATAGATCATGTGAGCACACAATGAGATGGCAGCTGCCTAAGGCCAAGAGGAGTTTTCAAAATGAAACCTACCCTGTCAGCACGTTGACCTTAGACGTCCCAGCTTCCATAACTGTGAGAAATATGTTTCTGTTGTCTGAGCCACCAGACTATGGTGTTTTGTTACAGTAGCCCAAGTTCACTAAGACAACTGGCAAATACCAAGGATGCTGCCAAGAAACTGTTGACAATGCCTAGGAAATGAAGCAACTAGACTTTCATACCTACTGCTAAGAGTGTAAATGTGTCATTATCTTCTAAAGCTGAGCATATGGTTGCCTCATAACCCACCATTCACCCCCTTCAGGAATTCCATATATATGTCAATCCAGGAATTATATATATATATATATATATATATATATGTCTCCAATAAAATGTGCAACCAGTATACGAAATTGCATACATATGTGGATTGAGAGACATATATAAGAATAATGATCACCACATTATGATAAATAGGAAAAAAGCCAAATATCTGTCAATCGTGTGTGTGTCTGTATAATACATTAAGTAAAGTGTAGCATAGTAATAAAATAGAACAATAGAATGAACAAACTATAGTATATGCAACAGTGTCGAATCTCACAAACACAACGTCCAGGAAAGAGGATAGATGCAAAAACATATATATTAGTAATATAGTATTTAGGTGTGCAAGTCTAGGTGGTGAAATTATGAAAGAAAATATGAAAAGGAGATCTTGACAATTACCTACTTTTTGACTTAGAAGCTATCACACAACCATGATTTATGTGATAATTCATGAAACTGTATTTTGATTTTTTTAAGTTGAGATAATTCATATACCATAACATTTACCATTTAGCCTATTATACAGGTATCACGAAGACATTCTCCATTGCATAAGCTTACATCAGACCGGAATAACCCACTGATAGTTAACAGCCTAGTATTAATAAACAATATAATAAGCACCCTATTATTTACACTGTTAACCCAACACAGCCATGCTCTAAGGAAAGATTACAAAAAGTAAAAGGAATTCAGCCAATCTTACCCCGCCTGTTTACCAAAAACATCACCTCTAGCATTACCAGTATTAAAGGCACTGCCTTCCCAGTGATATATGTTCAATGGCTGTGGTATCCTGACTGTGCAAAGGTAGCATAATCACTTGTTCCCTCGACAGGGGCTTGTATGAATGGCCACACAAGGGTTCAGCTGTCTCTTTTAATCAATGAAATCGACGTATCCATGAAGAGGCGGATATAAACAAATAAGACAAGAAGACCCTATGGAGCTTTAATTCATTAATGCAAATAAAAACTCAAACAAGCCTAGAGGCCCTAGCCTACTATCCCTGCATTAAAAAATGTGGTTGGGGTGACCTCAGAGCATAATTCAACCTCCGTAGGGAGGGGACTTTGTAAGAGGAGAGCGATAGAAAGGGTCAGGTTTGGAGCAATAATATAAAGGGTAATAGTAGATGTTGAGGGCGGTAAAGGTTCTTTGGTGAAAAGTTTTATTGCATCAATGAATGGTTGAAGCAGGCCATAGGGACCTACAATGTTGGGTCCTTTGTGTGGTTGTATATAGCCTAAACTTTTTCTTTTGATGAGTGCAAGGAACGCTATAACGGTAAGAGTGGGGATAAGGAGAAGGTTAATTATAGGCATATTGTTAAGAAGAGGAGTTGAAATTCTGATTATAAAGTTTTAGGTTTTATGCAATTGCTGGGCTCTGCCATCTTAACAAACTTAGCACTTACACTAGCATTTTTGCATATGACATATCTCAATGCCTGTCTTAATTTCCAGCATCCCACACCAAACATATGAAATATGTCTGACAAAAGAATTACTTTGATAGAGTAAACAATAGAGGTTAAAATGCTCTTATTTCTAGGATTTGAAATAATTCCTAGGTTCTATAGGAATTGAACCTACCCCTGAGAATCCAGAATTCTCTGTGCTACCTATTACACCACGTCCTAGAGCAAGGTCAGCTAAATAAGCTATCGGGCCCATACCTCACAAATGTAGGTTACACCCTTCCCGTACTAATTAATCCCTTAGCTCAACTTAGTATTTCTCTTACTATTTTCACAGGAACTCTTATCACAATGCTAGGCTCACACTGATTTCTCACCTGAACAGGCCTAGAAATAAACAAACTAGCCTTACTCCAATCTTAATTTAAAAAATAAATCCCTGCTCTACAGAAGCAGCCACCAAATATTTCCTTACACAAGCAAGCACATCTATAATTCTTATAATAGACATCCCTCCCAATAACCTGGCTTCCAGACAATGAAAAATTATAAACACTATCAATCAATTCTCATTCTTAATAATAGTGGCCCTAGTAATAAAACTAGGAATAGCCCCCTTTCACTTCTGAGTCTCAGAGGTAACCCAAGGAATCTCTGTAATGTCTGGTATACTTCTGATATGACAAAAACTAGCCCCTATCTCGATTATGTTTCAAATTTTCCCATCAACAAACATGAACATCCCCTTATCTATCAGAATCCTATCCATTAGAGTGGGCAGTTGAGGGAGACTTAATGAAACCCAACTGTGTAAAATCCTGGCCTACTCCTCAATCACTCACATAGGTTGAATAACAGCAGTACTAATTTATAACCCAAATATTACCACCCTAAACCTGATTATTTACCTTATCTTAACAACAGCCGCATTTCTAGCACTCAACCTGAGTGTAAGCACCACAACCCTGTCACTATCTCACGCCTGAAACAAATGAGCATGGCTGACACCTGTAATTCCACTAATTCTACTATCCCTAGGAGGTTTACCCCCATTAACAGGGTTCCTGCCTAAACGCATCATCATCCAAGAACTTACAAAGAGCAATAGCCTTATTACCCCTATATAAATTATAAAATTCAGTGATTTTTATATATATTCTCATCTTGTGCATCTATTACCACAGTCTAATCCCAGAATGTTTCTGTCACCTCAAAAACATATTCCATATCTGTGAGCCCTTATTCCCAATTCTCCCTTTCCCACATTACCTGACAATCAGTAATGCGCTTTCTGTCTTTGTAGATTTCCCTATTCTAGATACTTAATATAGACAAAATTATCTACTTCTCTGCAGAATTCACAGAAAAATAGGGAACTTATATAATATGTAACTTTTTATGTCTGGCTTCTTTCACTTAGCTAATGTTTTCAAGATTGTCAATGTTGTAGGGTGTTCTACTACTTTAATACTATGTATTGTTGAATAATATATAGATATATGGATATATTTATATGGTATAGATATGTCATATTTTGTTTGTACATTCATCAGTTGATAAAATGAATTATTTCCACTTTTCAGCTATTATGAATAGGTCTGCTGTGCACATTCATGTATAAGTTTTTGTGTGACAAGTAGTTTCAATTATCTTGTGTAGGTATCAAGGAGTAAGATTACTGGGTTATATTTTTTAACTTCTTCAGATATCACCAAACTATTTTCCACACTGATTGCATCATTTACATTCTTACCAGCAATGCATGAGGTTTCCAGTTTCTCCATATTGTCACAAAGATTTGTTAATATCCATGTTTTTTATTGTAGCCACCCTAGTGGTGATAAAGTGGTGTTTTGTGGTTTTAAGTTGGATTTCTCTAATGACTAATAATGTTGGGAATCTTTTCATGTGCTTGTTAGCCATTTGTATATCTTCTTTGGAGATCTGTGTAATGAATTCTTAAAATTTTTTGTTGCATCTGTATCCATTTTCAATACAAGTTTAACTTTCTCACACCAGAATCAGCACTAATTTACCCTTGACACAGTGTCCAGTCTAGACCACACCCAGATTACTCAAGCTGGTGGCCAGAGATGAGAACTCAGGAACTCCTTTTCTGTCTAGGAGACTGGGATTCCCTCTTTCCTGCCACTTCCTTTAAATGCACTATTCAAGCATTTGCCCAAAAACTTAAAGTGATCCACACCCTATTTCCTTATATATACTTTCATGAGCTCATTCTCTTTCTGCCTGACTCTTCATTCCTGCCTACATGATACAAGGATAAAGGACCACCCTTCTGACTCATTGCACCCTCCTTGACCAGGATCTGTAAGTAAAAACCTTTGAACTTGTTCCCTATTGTGGTGGTGTATTAAATTTGCGCTTTCTACCTAAAGCACCAAGGGTTGCTCCAGGTTGAGCTTTGCTTGGGACACCAGAAGAGAACACAAGGTCAGGTTCCTAGCCCCAGAGCCTTAGTCAGAGAATCATAAACTTGACACATTGCAGAAGAGCCACAAGGGCATCTGCCAGTGTAAACACGTTTCCCATGTGAGAGACAATCCCCTAGTCACAGGTTGGACAACAAGGCTTCAGGTCACCTGCCAGGTAAAAGAAGTATCACATGAAAAGCACAGAGTAAACACCCACATCTAGTTCTTCGTTGTATTGTGTTAGGGGCGGGTTGCTAGCTTCTCTAGTACTAGAACCTCAGTTTAGCTGGGAGCTCCAAAAACAAACTGTCTACTCAAATACTTTGGCCATTTTTCATGGACTTATTTTTAAATTGTTGAGTTGTAAGTGTTCTTTATATATTGTGGATACTAGACCCTTATCAGACAGATGATTTGCAAACACTTTCTGCCATTCTGTGGGTTGTCTTTTTGCTTCCTTAATCGTGTCCTTTGATGTACAATTTGTTTTTATTTTTATGATGTATGATTTCTTTATGTTTTGCCCTTGGTTGTGTGTTAGATGTTATATCTAAGAAACTCTTGCCAATTACAAGGTCAAGAAGATTTATACTGTTCTCTTCTAGAGTTTTTCTTGAGATTCTTGCATGTGTATAGTTCTTTGAAATCAAATTTGAGAAATATTTGCCCATATTTCTTCATATGTTCTTTCTGGCCATTTTACTTTTCCTCCTTCTTATGGGCCTCCCATGAGTGGTTGTTGGTGTACTTCATAGTTCCCACAGATCTCTGAAGTCTGTTCATTTTCCTTCATTTATTTTTCTTTCTGTTTCTCATACTAGAGAATTGTATGATCTTTAAATGTATGGCTTCTTTCTTCTGCATGCTGGAATCTGCTTTTGAGACCCTCTAGTAATCTTTTTAAAATTTCAGTTATTGTATTTTTCATCTGCATAATTTTAGTTTAGTTCTTTTTTATAATTTCAATATATTTGTTGATATTCTGTATTTGGTGAGACCTAATTTTTATGCTTTCTAAATTTTTATGCTTTCAGCTCTTAAAAATGACAGTAAAGGAAACAAAATTTATAAATACCATAGATATTTTAGTAAAAGCAAAAAATATTTATTGGTTAAAAACACAAAAACACTTACTGTATACAAAACATACACCTAATGTAAAGTGAAGTTGAAAGTAGAGTGGTGAACTAAGTCATATTTTTTTAAATGTCAGCAAAATCAAATTCTGATTAAGAAAATTAATATTTGAAAAAGCTGAAGCCAAGGAAATATCATTAAGTGTTACTGGGAGCTCTTATTATGCTTATAAAGAATATGATAAGAATATGATAGCATAACTGCCACGAATCCTCTTTACCAAATCACATAATATTTAAATATATAAAGAAAAAAATCCTCTGAGTAGAAAACAATACTAGGGAGAGATTTAAACATAATTGTCCCTGTCATTAGCAAATCAAATACATCAAAAACTTAAGTGTATAAGGTATAAATAATAAGGCTAGTCTAGAAACACATAAAAATCTATACCCTGTCAAAAACATCTTTCCAAGCTCCATGAAATATTTATAAAAATTGATCATTAAAAGAATCCTAAAAAAATCAATACATTAACATCACCTGAATTGATTATGTTCTCTTTTCAAAAAGCAATGGAAATCATTATGGCCTAAGTAGAAACCAAACTGAAACTTATTTACCTGACGGAAAATTAAAATCTGTCTCAGATGCAACTGTTAATAAGAAGAGATAAAAGAACGGTTTGATTGTGTAATATATTTGAGGATTGGTGACAAAGAGTTATCTTTTATGAGATGTCACCAAAGATGTATGCACATGAAGATTTGTCACTTTACTTATTTTGCCAGTAGATATAAGGATAATTTAATTATGTATTTAATTCAATTAAAAATGGCAAAAGAATAACAAACCTATGGACTACATTAAAAACTGACTAATAAAGATCAAATGGGAAATTTGACAAATTATAGCACACGGGCATATGTTAAAACTGATTATGAGACCCATGCACTTCAACGGTAATAAAAGAGATAAGCTACCAGCTTGTTCAATAAAGTAAAGAAAATATGAAAATCACGAAGAGAAACGAGATAAGGAAAAGCTTTACAACTACTGGCCAGATTTTGAAACTTTAAAAAGTTATTTGTACTAATGAAGGCTAATCAATTTGAAAACCTAGGTAAAATTTATGATTTTCTAGGGAAATGTCAATAAAAAATTGAGGCAACAGATAACAGAAATCATGGAGTAATAACTATAGCAGACATTCAGAAATCCAAAAGCAAAGATGATTTCAAAGGAAATTATTTCAGATCTTCTAGAAAAATATTTACATGTGATTTGGCCAGGCAAGGTGGCTCATGCCTGTTATCCCAGCACTTTGGGAGGCTGAGGTGGGTGGATCACTTGAGGCCAGCAGTTCGAGACCAGCCTGGCCAATATGGTGAAACCCAGTCTCTACTAAAAATACAAAAATTAGCTGGGCATGTTGGTACGCACCTGTAGTCCCAGCTACTTGGGAGGCTGAGGCATGAGAATCACTTGAACCCAGGAGGTGGAGGTTGCAGTGAACCCAGATTGTGCCACTGCACTCCAGCCTGGGGAACAGGGTGAGACTCTGTCTCAAAAAAAAAAAAAAAAAAAGGATATTTACATGCGATTTAAGCAATTCTATACCATTGTTCTCCTTTTTCAATTGTGATACCTGCCTTACTATGTCAAAAAACTGGAATACAGCAAAGAAAATATAATTTTGACAGATGTTACTTATATAGATTGATATAAAATTATGAAATAAATGTTACCAATCCCAGGTATGTCAATGAAGTTCTCTCTAGTGGGAATTTGCATCTTAAACAAAGACATAGAATGGAAAGTGGTTATGAAGTGAACAAGGCTGAAGCACCTGAGAGAAATGCCTGGAAACATGATGACCTTACTCCTGATATGGCCATTCGCAAAGCAAACCTACATCATATTCTTCATGGATTCTGGTTGTTCTGCTTTTCTCTTTAATTCTGAGAGCTCCCTGGTATCCTTCCAGTGTGTCTTTTTTTTCTTGCTTAAGTTATTAAGGTTAGTTTCTGTTGCTAAACAACCAAAGAATACCAACTTAAGCAACATAAGTTGGTGCTTTTCTTAGTTCTGGCTGCTATAACAATGTATCCTCAACTGGGTTGCTTAAAAAACAGACATTTATTTCTCAAACGTCTCGAGGCTGGGAAGTCCAAAATCAAGGGGCCAACAAGGCAAGTTTCTGAGGCCTCATGGCTTGGAGGTGGATGCAATCTCCATTTGTCCTTATATGACCTCTTTTTTGTGTACACTCAAGCAACCTCGCTGGTGTCTCTTCTTTATTTATTTATTTATTTTTGAGATGGAGTCTTGGTCTGCTGCCCAGGCTGGAGTGCAGTGGCGCAATCTGGGCTCACTGCAACCTCTGCCTCCTGGGTTCAAGAGACTCTCCTGCCTCAGCCTCCCAAGTAGCTGGGATTACAGGCGTGCACTACCACACCCAGCTCATTTTTGTATTTTTAGTAGAGATGGGGTTTCATCATGTTGACAAGGCTGGTCTTGAACTCCCGACCTCAGATGATCCACCCACCTTGGCCTCCCAAAGTTCTGGGATTACAGACTAGCCACCATGCCCGGTCTGGTTTCTCTTCTTATAAGTGCACTAATCCCATCATGAGGGTTCGACCTTCATAGCCTCATTTAATATTAATTAATCTCCTAAAGGCCTCATATCAAATACCATCCCATTGAGGTTAGGGCCTCAACATTTGAATTTTGGGTGTACACAAACTTTCGTTTCATAATACTACCGTTATAAGAACCTACCATTTTTGCCATTATTAGTTCATAGATAATATGCGTGGGAAATATATTATGAATTGGCTGAGAATACAAGAGAATAACAATGCAACTTCAGATGCAGATGGGGACCTGGGAATGCAGACAAGGAATGTGTTAGAAAAATGTATCCCTTCAGGTTTCCAATAATTCTTCCACGTCTTCTTTACAGATACTTTTGCATATTGCCTGTTATTCAGGATTAATCATAATCAATCACAAGTTAAGTTTTTCAGAAAAAAAATTATTAAAATAACAAAAAAAAAATTTGATTTTTTTTTTTCTATTTTTTGAGATGGTCTCACTCTTTCACCCAGGCCGAAGTGCGGTGGCATCATCACGGGTCACTGCAACCTTAACCTCGTAGGCTCAAGTGATCCTCCCACCCCAGTTTCCCAAGAGTCTGGGACTTCAGGCATATGCCACCACACCCAGCTATTTTTAAAATTTTTTTGTAGATACAACATCTCACTACATTGTGCAGGGTGGTCTCAAACTCCTGAGCTCAAGTGATTCTCCAGCCTCAGCCCCCCAAAGTGCTGGGATTATAGGTATGAGCTACCATGCCCAGTCAAAATATTATATTGATAGATTTTCAGAAGGTGTAATGGTTAATATTGAGTGTCAACTTGATTGGATTGAAGGATACAAAGTATTGTTCCTGGATATGTCTGTGAAGATATTGCCAAAGGAGATTATCATTTGAGTCATTGGACTGGGAGAGGCAGATCCACCCTCAGTCTGGGTGGGCACCAACTTACCAGCTATCAGTATGGCTAGAATAAAGCAGGCAGAAGAAAGTGGAATGAGGGAGACTTATTGAGTCTTCATCTTTCTCCTGTGCTGGGTGCTTCCTGCCCTCGAACATCAGACCCAAGTTCTTCAGCTTTTGGACTCTTAAACTTACACCAGTGGTTTGCCAGGGGCTCTCAGGCCTTTGGCCACAGACTGAAGCCTGCACTGTTGGCTTTCCTACTTTTGAAGTTTTGGAACTTGTACTGACCCACGACTTCCTTGCTCCTCAACTTGCAGATGGCCTCTTGTGAGACTTTACCTTGTGATCCTGTGAGTTAATTCTCCTTAATAAATGCCCTTTCATGCATACATATATACTACTAGTTCCGTTCCTCTAGAAAACCCCTGACTAATACAGAAGGCATTACGTGCTTTGAGAACAGACTGTAAGAGCAGAACGATAAAAATACCTTAAAAATAAAACTCATGAAAGGTTATCACTGAATTAGCAAAGTTATTAAAATTGCTTTTAAAATAAATCAGGAAGGATCACAATAAATATTTACTTGGCAAATTTTGCATTCATTTGGTCTAGTAGACTCCAATAAGCACAATTCCACTTTACTTTGACTTTCCTAGTGAACATTCTATGGTGAGACATTCTGAGGAGGTGATATGTTATTCCTCACAAATCAATGTATAGGACCTTACTTTTGCTGCAGATGCAAATGTGTAAAGTACTGAACTGTACAAATCTTGAAACACATTAAAATACATGTCACAATACTGTTCATTATTAATCTGCTCATGGAAACAAATTTCAGGAAGTAGAGGGTATTTAATGTCAAATTAAAGCAGACTTGTGATAGA
Organism: Homo sapiens; assembly: GCF_000001405.40. Lineage (NCBI taxonomy): Eukaryota > Metazoa > Chordata > Mammalia > Primates > Hominidae > Homo > Homo sapiens. Next base: position 19,755,444 of record NC_000010.11, read on the forward strand.
ACTCGACACTATAATCACATTAATATCAAAAATGATAATAATTGATGTCAGTGTGCCTGAAAAATAGTAATGATTTCTCAGCTAAAGAAAGAAGGAAATCTATTCATTTAAATGGCATTAAATCTGTCCAGGTATATAAGTAGCACATTCAAACCCATATATAGTTCTATCCCATGTCTGTACACCAGTGTTACATTACAGGCCGCAAAAGGAAAACTCTTTTTGTCCAGAAAATGTGCAGTTTAACAGAGAACTTTGTAGTGATGGTAGAACAAAGTACTGATAAAAGCATAGCATTCTCAAGAACAATATAGAGAGATAGAAATAGAGATAGAGATACATGTCTATGTGTATGTATATATATATAGCGAGAGGAGCGAGAGAGAGAGAGAGAGAGAGAGAGAGAGATTGGTTCCGGTCTGTGTCAAATCATGAAATTGAGGCTTAAGTCCTTTCTTTTGCTACCCTCTTTAGTCTACTCCAGTCTAATTGTGGCCATGATGGAAAGAAGTCACGTCTCTGCACCTGCCCAGGCAAGCCAAGTGTCTCAGTGCGCCTGGTAGGAAATTCTTAGGTCACGCCCTCTCTATGCCTGCACAGTTCTTGGGTCCCGGGAGCTCTGTTTCTTGGGAAGAATCCCGTGTGATAGTCTGGAGGCAGATCTTTCCCTTACATGTAAAAAATAGTAAGGAACTTATAGATTCCTTAATCTGTAAGTTAAGATCAACTTCTCACATGAGACTTTTTTTTCTTTTTAATCACCTTTTAAGTTGCTAAAATTGGTCAGTTTTCATTCTAATAATGTGCCTATTAGAAAATGTATTTTTTAGTAGTATCAGAAAGAAATCCACCAGTTTTTCTTAAATTTGTACATTTTTCTACAAAATAAATTCCTCTAGAAAATTTTGATTACAAAAGGATCTTGGAATTTCACTTTTTGAAGAACATTTGATGGAGTATATCAGATTCAGAGATACTGTATCATATAATAAATAGAATAAAATATGGAACATTTTATTTAAAATTGTAAATGTTAACAGAGGAAAACAATGCAGAGTCACCTGTGCCCTACATATAGAGACAAGGCACATTATGCGCGTGCCAAACAGGATTTCTGTGATCTAGAAATTTCTGAAAGCAAATTTTAAAATTTTTGAGAGCACTAGAAATTTTTCTCCTAATGGATACCTATTTGGCAGATGCCCACTTGCAGTCTCCCGAAACATTTGCATTTTTCCACACTTACGATGCTTGCAAGACACAAATATGAAAATAGACTATTTCTGAGTCAAAAGACTGCCAACCAGTGCTTGGTATTATACATTTCAATGCTTGGTCATTTCATGTTGCCAAAGTAATTAAAACCAATTCTTTGAAATTGAATTGCTCATTTGATGTGTCTTACATTAATTGCAGAACCACCTACAGCACTGAAAATGCTCGTCCAACAGAGGCTATCTTCCCCCCAAAAATCCTAGTTCAAAATGATTATTTCTATCTGAGGTTACAGAAAAAGCTTCTACAATAGGCACATATCAATTCTGCACAGTTCAGCTCGCCCTTCTATGATTGATGCATAATAGATACTATTGTAGCTGTTCCAAATATTCTTGTTCCTCTTCGTCACTCTCTATCATACCATGACTCAAAAGACAATGAGCACATTGCTGCTTTTGAGATGCTTTGATCTACTGCAGCATCTAGAGGCAGAACTGAAAAGAAAGGAAGAATGATGGAAAAGGATTTCTGAAAACCAGCCTGGCCAGTATTTATTTCTACGCAAAGCATAAAACCACTACCAAGCCAAAGATCAGAATGAATGTAGATCAATTAGTGCAAGAAAGGAGCCAGTGTTTGATGGGCTTCTATGAATCATATTACAGCAATATCTGTAATTTGGAAGTTGAAAAATTATCAAAGCTGATATTACAATTAAAAGCTCAACTTTTATGTTTTATTGGAACTAAATGTGTTTGATGGGAACTAAAAAGATAAATATTATATTTTATTGATGTCTTTTGGATCTAAAATATCAGTATGAATTAAAGTGGAGTAAAACGCATTAGGACCAAATAAACCATGTCCTTTCTTCCCATTAAAAGCTCCATAAATATAATTCCTCTTTGTGCTAAAGCTTTTTACACTGTCTATGTATTTGCAATGGTATATTTAGAAATATAATGCCTTGGAAAGTGATTTTATAATGCATGTTCATTATTTTTTCTACCATGGTAAGGAGTGGAAAGGAGAAGATTTCATCTTATTACTTGCTAACAAAATATTGTTCACTTGCTCCACGAGATTCTTTACTATATAAATATTAGGGGATTTTTATGTTTGTTTATGTGGTTTTTGTTTGTTTGTTTGTTTTTGAGACAGCCTCTTGCTAAGTTTCCCAGGCTGAACTTACTCCTGGGCTGGGCTCCAGTGATCCTGCTGCCTCAGCCTCCTAAGTAGCTGAGACTACAGGCATGACCACCATGCCCAGCTAATCTTAGTTATTTTATGTTTGAATTTGCAGAAAGACTACAGCATGTAAAAAGATAAATGTATTGGTTTTAGAATTAAAGACATATTAAAACATATTTGCATTTTCAACTGATAGCAAAGGTTTTATGAGAGCATCAGATCACTAATTATTGTCAAGATTGGTTTAAACTGTTATATTTTTATTTTAAGGATTTCTTATACTCCACTATAGGTAAAATGTTATATTATTTTTAAGTGATTGATGTAGATGTTTTTACCATACATCAGTAACTTATCACAGTAAACTTTCAAATGTCATTTCACGTATAGTGTAAGGGCCTTACAACAGTATTTTTCTGTCTTCTCCCTCTTTTCCTATATGCTGTTTTTTGTATACTTTTGCATCTGTGTATGTCAAAACTCCACAATACATTGCTAATATTTCTACATTATTATCTTTTAAAGCAATTCAAAACATGGAAACACGTCTTTTATATTTTACCATTATTTTTACCCTTCCAGGCACAATGTTTCTTTGGATAGTTTCTAATTTTCAATCTGATGTCATATTCCTCTGTCTAAAGAATAAAGAGCTTCTTTAATAAACAAAGGGCTAATGCCAATAAATCCTCTAAGCCTTTATTTATTTGCCTAATCAACTTTTTATTTCATATTAACTTTTTAAAGATATTTTTTGCTTAGTATAAAAGTCATGTTGAAAGATTTCTTGCATTACTTTAAAGATATCACTAATTTTTGGAGGAGTTACAGAGTTTCTAAGAAGTCTAATGAAATTATTATCTTTGTTTCTCTCTGTAATATTTATATTTTTTCTGGTTGCTTTCTATATTTTTCTGTTTGTCATTCGTTTTTAGCTGGTAGATGATGATGTGTATAGGTGTGTTTTCAGAAATTTACCCTGCTTAGGGCTCTTTGAGCTTCATAGATCTGTGGCTTATATTTTTTCCATTAATTTTGAAAAATTTCAAAAAACAATCCTTGCCTTTTCCGGTGTCTAGAAAAAAAAGAAAAAATTGTCTGGCTGTTTTCTCTGCATATTTTTATTCTGTTCCATTCTCTGTCTTCTTCTTCTTTTGGGACTCCAGTTTCATATATGTTAGACCATTTGATATTGTCCTGAAGCTCCTGGGAGCTCAGTCTGTTTTGGGTTTGTTTTTACAGTTTTTATCTTTGAACTTCAGTCTGGATCATTTCTACTGACCCATATTCAAGTTTATTTATTATTTTCTCAGCTACGCTTAGCCGGCTGATGAGCCCATTGCAGGACTTTTTCACCTCTGATATCCTACATTTTATTTTTAATGTCTTCATTGGACTTTTTAGAAATGATTTCTTCTTATCTGCTAAAATTCCCGTTCTTCTCATGCGTGTTTACTTTTCCACAAGCTTCTTGTGAATTATAGTTATTTAAAATTCTCTATCAGATAATTTCAACATCTCAGTCACTTCAAAACTGGACCTTTTGATTACTTTGTCTCCTCATGATGGATTGTTTTCCTTGTTTTTTAATCTGTCTGATAAATAGCTTTATTTATTTATTTATTTATTTATTCATTCATTCATTCTAAGAGACTGGGTCTCATTCTGTCATCTAGACAGGAGTGCAGTGGCACAATGATGACTTGCTGCAGCCTCCAACTCCTGGGCTCAAGTGATCCTCCCAACTCAGCCTCCCAAAGTGCTTGGATTACAGGTGCATGCCACCATAGCACCTGGCCCTGGTAGATTTTTATTGAATGCTGGATATCATACATAGAACAGCAGAGGCTGAAGTAAATAGTATTTATGTGTACAAATGAGCATATACCTCTTCTTTAGTCATGGTTTTAGTGCGTGGGTTTGAGATATTTTAATCAGAAGCTTACGTGTTTGTTTCTGTTCTCATGCTCTTTAGTTTACCAGACTTCAAATCTTCGAGCAATTGGCTATTGTTATCTTGAGCTTTGAGTACAGACTAAGGCACTAGAGGTTTTTTTCTGTGCTCATGCTCCACCCTCATGTTCAGCAACACCTGCATGTCTAAGCTAAAAAACTAAGTCTCTCTTCACTTTCTATCCCCACAAGGTGCTAGATTTAGGGTGGGAGCAGCAATGGAGGGAGTTCTGTGGTCTCCTTCTTGGCCCTCGGGGCTGGGTCTCCTTCTGGCCTGTGTGTGTGACTGGCCCTCGGGGGTAGGTCGGTCTTCTTCTGGCCTGTGTGTGTGACTGGCCCTCGGGGCTGGGTCTCCTTCTGGCCTATGTGTGTGACTGGCCCTCGGGGGTGGTACTTCACCACTCCCAGGTATCCTCACTGTGGCATTGGTCTTAAGGAGGAGAGAGTTCTCTGACCTAACCCAGCATTAATAGATCTCTTCTGGGTATTGATTTAGGATCCCAGACAAGACAATTTTCTGCTCTTTCTAAGGATTGGGAGTTATATTTTCTATCCTGTTAAGAATTGAATTTTGTCTTCCTCAAAATCAGTATGTCAAAGCCCTAACCCTCAGTACTTCAGAATGCTGCTGTATTTGCAGACAGAGCCTTTGAAGAGGACATTAACTTAAAATGAGGTTGTTAGGATGGGCCTTAATGCAATGTGACAGGTGTCCTTATAAGGAAATGAAATTTGTACTCATAGAGACCCCAGGGATGTGCACCTGGGCAGATGTTGGCCATGTGAGAACACAGAAGGTGGCTGTTTTCAGGCCAAGGAGAGAGACCTCAGAAGAAATCAAACCTGCCAATTGATCTTGGACCTCCTCCAGAACTCTGAAAGCATAAATTTCTGTTATTTAAGCCACCCAGTCTCTAGTAGTTTGTTACGACAACCTTAGCAAACCAGTACATTCCCTTTGTCCCCGCCTTCCCTAGCAGCAATAAACCTTTGTCTGTGTCCTGAGATACAAGAGGTTTACCTACCCTTCTACAGGCAGATGGATTTTGTTTCTACTCTTCCCCAGAGGACATGGATTTTCAGCTGAGCTCCCGGTATATGGACAAGGAGCTGAATTGCTGCCCCTATTCCAGTGATTTAATTAAGTCTTCTACATCGCAGCAGAGACCATCCAAGTGATAGTACTCCAGGCTTGTCCCCCACGACCAGCCAGTTGCCTTCGTTGCCGTCAAAGGGAAATCTCCAGTTTCTTGCTCTGCCTCCAGACTTCTTCGTGAGAAGAAGTGATAGAAGCCTATGGAAAAATAATTGTGAATGCAGCTTTTGCCTGAGGCTTCCACCTTCCACCAATTGACATGCTAGCTCATGCTTGGCCTTTTGAAAAATGTTAAAGTTTTGCCTGATTTCTTCTTTTTTAAAACAACTTTGTTGGCTGGGTGTGGTGGCTCATGCCTGTAATCCGGCCACTTTGGGAGGCCGAGGCAGGTAGATCACCTGAGGTCAGGAGTTCCAGACCAGCCTGTCCAACGTAGTGAAACCCCGTCTCTACTAAAAATACAAAAATTAGCAGGGCGTGGTGGCAGTCGCCTGTAATCGCTGCTACTCTGGAAGCTGAGGCAGGAGAATCGCTTGAACCCGGGAGGCGGAGGTTGCAGTGAGTGAAACTCCGTCTCAAAACAAAACAAAACAAAACAAAAAAACCCAAAACTTTATTGAGATATAATTCACATACCATACCAGTTCACTTAAGTGTACAATTATTCAATGGTTTTTAATATATTCACAGATTTGTGTATAATCATCACTGTAGTCAATGTTAGAACATTTTTTCATCTCAAAAACCTCATAGTTTTCAAGCTATCATCCTCACCCAAGCTGTCACCCCAGCCCAAGGCATCTACCAATCTACTTTGTCTCTACAGATTTCCTTGTTTTGGACTTTCATATAAATACAATTGTATAATAGGTGGTATGTTGTGACTGGCTTCTGGCACTTAGCATGCTATTTTTACGGTTCATCTGTGTTGTAGAACATATCAGTACTATATTCCTTTTTATGGCTGAGTAGTATTTCATTGTATTGCTATACAACCTTTTGTTTATCTGTTCATCAGTTGATGCACATTTAGTTTGTTTCCACCTTTTGGCTGTTACAAATAGTGTTTCTGTAAATATCCTTATACAAGTTGCTATGTAGACATAAGTTTTTATTTATTTGGGGTGAAATCTAGCAGTGGAATTGCTGAGTTATTTGATAACACCATATTTAATTATTTGAGAAACTGCTAGACTGTTTTCCAAAGCAGCTGCATGATCATACATTCTTACCAGTAGTGTATGAAGGTACTGATTTATCCAGTGTTGGTGTTTCTCACCAACATGTGATAGTATCAGACGTAGGATTCTAGCCATCCTAGTGGTTAGGAAGTGGTAACTTGTGATATTTATTTGCATTTTCCTGATGACTAATTATGTCAAGAATCTTTTCATGTGCTTATTAGGCACTTGTATGCCTTCCTTACAAAAGTGTCTATTCAGATCCTTTGTCCATTTTTAATTTTTTTAAAATTTTTGAATTCTAAGAGTTTTTATGTAGTCTGGATGGAAGTCCTTTATCAGATATATGATTTGCAAATATTTTCTGCCATTCTGAGGGTTGTCTTTTTACTTTTTAGATGGTGTCCTTGGAAGCGCAAAAGTTTTTTTTTTAACTTTGTTGAAGTCTAATTTATCTATTTTTTGTTTTGTTGTTCATGTTTTTGGCACCATGCCTAAGAATCCATTGCCAAATGCAAGGTCATAAAGATTTATTCTTATGTTTTCTTGGTTAAGGAAATTTGTGCCTATCTTTATAAGATATATTAAGCTGTACTTTTCTTATGATGTCTTTGTCTAATTTTGGTATCAACGTAATAGAAGTCTCATAAAAAGAGTTGGGAAATATTCCCTTCTCTTCCATTTTTTTGAAAAGGTCCATAAATAATTGGTTTTAATTATTCTTTAAATATAATATTGGGTAAGATTTAGTGGTGAAGCCCCCTAGGCCTGGACTTTTCTTTATGGGTAATTTATTATTATCATTATTACTCCTTCGTTCTAGCCACTTATCACATGTCTAGTCAGACTGTCTATTTTTGTCTGGAGTCAGTTTTAGTCATTTATACATTTTCAGGAATTAGTCCATTTTTTCCTAAGCTGCCTGATTTGTTGGCATACAATTGTATATATTATTCATTTAAAATCCTTTTTATTCCTGTAGGGTCCATAGTAATGTTCCTTTTTAAATTTCTGATTCAGGTGACTCGAGTCCTCTCTCTTTTCTGTGGTAAATCTAGCTAAAGACTTGCTAATTTTGTTATTCTTTTTAAAGAACCAGCTTTTGGTTTCATTGAGTTTTCTCTATTATTTTCCTATCCATTAATTCATTAATTTTTTTCTAATATTCATTATATTCTCCATTCTGCTTGCTTTATGTTTAGTTTGCACTTCCTTTTCCAGCATCAAAAGGTAGAAGGTTAGGTTATTGATTTAAGATATTTTCTTCCTTTACGTGGTAGACATTTACTGCAAGAAAATGGCCTCTAGGCACTGCTTCAATTGCATCTAATAAGTTTTGATATGGTGTGTGTTCATTTTCATTTATCGCAAAGTATTTCCTGATTTTTCTTTTGATTTCTTCTTCGACCCACTGAGGATTCAGGAGTGTGTTTAATTTCCACATATTTATGAGTTACCAATTTTTTGAATGCTATTGATTTCTAATTTCATTTCATTGTAGTCAGAGAACATATTTTGCACTATTTCTATCCTTTTAAAGTTATTGAGGCTTGTTTTATGGCTTAGCAATATTATTGGGGTTCCCTTTTAAATACTGAGTAATTTTTTTCTTACTGCCCACAAGATGTTTTCCTTGTCTTCACCTTTCAACATTTTTACTATGATTTGTACATTGGTGATTCTTTCTGAGTTTATCCTATGTAAAATGCATTGAGCTTTCCGGATGGGTACAATACTGTTTTTCAATAAATTTGGGAAGCTTTCAACTATTGATTTTTTGCCTACTCTTTTTCTGTTCCTTTCTCTCCTTTCCTTTGGTACTCCCATTACACATATATTGTTATGCTTAATGATGTCCCACATTTCTCTGAACCATTTGTCACTTTTCTTCATACTTTATATTCATTCTTTTTATTTATGTTTTTCAGCTTACACAATTTTTATTGATCTGTCTTCTACTTCCTTATTGTTTCTTCTGTGAGATCAAATCTAATGTTGTGCCCTTCTTTGAGCCCTTCTGATAATTTTTTAAATTTTAGTAATTAGTTAGAATTTTCATTTGTTTTCTAAAATTTCTATCTCTATTGATATTGTATATTTGATTCAATGTTGTTCTTATTCTTTCTTTACTTCTTTATTTTTTGTTGCATTAGCTCTGTGAACATGCTTATAATGGCTACTTCAAAGTCTTTTTCTGAAAAACCTAACATCTGGTCTCTCTCACATGCAGTTTCTATTGCTTTATTTACTTTTTTTTTAACTGTTCGGGTCATACTTTCCTTTTTTTTTGTATGCCTCACAATTTCTTTGTTGAAAATTTTATATAGTATATATAATTACAAATATATTTAATGTGTATCTTAATTAATTTATAAGACTACTCAGAAATTCTGAGTACTAGCCAACCCCAGGGAGAGCTTGTTATTATTTGCCTGAGTGGATTATTTCAGCAAAATCTATTTCTCTTCATCTCTGGTGTTAGCTTTTGATGTTTTTCCTCTGGGAGGTATAGCTTCAGGTGTGCCCATAGACACCCTAGAATGACAGTGGTACTAGTAGGACTATTTTCATCTCTTTCACTGACCATTCTTAGCTATTAAATTCCACCAGTTGCCGGCAGATTGTTCTATTGTCTTTAACAATGCCCTGTGACATAAACTGTCCCATGAACTAACCCAATCAAATTGTAGCTTCTTTGACAGAATAGTTACTGAAGTGACTGATTTTTGCTCAGACCTCAGGCAGACTCCAGGAAGACTCTTTCTAGATTCCCTGGTCCCCTCCTTCAAACTTGCTGAGCTACAGTTTAGACTGTATCTTTTTTATTTATTTATTTATTTTAGAGCCAGGATCTCACTCTGTCACCTAATCTGGAGCACAAGGGCACAATCACAACTCACTGCAACCTCAAAATCTTGAGCGCAAGCAATCCTCCTGCCTCAGAATCCTGAGTAGCTCAGCCTATGGGTGTGCACCATCACACCTGGTTAATTTTCTAAAATTGTTTTTTGTAGAGATGGGGTCTCACTGGCTTTGAACTTCTGGACTCAAGCAGTCCTCCTGCCTGGGCCTCCCAAAGTGCCGGGATTACAGTACAGGCATGAGCCTAGCCTAGCCTTACTTTATAAGGAGATCTTGAATCTCTGAATCTCCTTTCAATTGCCTTTCACTCCAACTGCCATTATTCTTTTTTTTTTTTTTTTTGAGACAGAGTCTTGCTCTGTTGCCCAGGCTGGAGTGCAGTGGCCTGATCTCGGCTCCCTGCAACCTCTGCCTCCCGGGTTCAAACAATTCTCCTGCCTCAGCCTCTTGAGTAGCTGGGATTACAGGTGCCCGCCACCATGTTCAGGTAATTTTTTGTATTTTTAGTAGAGATGGGGTTTCGTCATGTTGGGCAGGCTGGTCTCAAACTCCTGACCTCGGGTGATCTGCCCGCCTCGGCCTCCCAAAGGTCTGAGATTACAGGTGTGAGCCACCGTGCCCAGCCACAACTGCCATTATTCTTGACAGTGCCTCTAGAATTGAATTTCTTCTCTGTTGCAAATGAAGTCAGTTCCTTAAAAATAAATCAGGTGGACCGAGCACGGTGGCTCACACCTGTAATCCCAGCACTTTGGGAGGCTGAGGAGGGTGGATCACCTGAGGTAAGGAGTTCGAGACCAGCCTGGCCAACATGGTGAAACCCCGTCTCTCCTAAAAATTCAATAATTAGCACGGCATGGTGGCACGCACCTGTAATCCCAGTTAGTCTACTCCAGAGGCTGAAGCAGGAGAATCACTGGAATCTGGGAGGCGGTGAGCCCAGAACATACCACTGCATTCCAGCCTGGGCGACAGAGCAAGACTCTGTCTCAATCAATCAATCAGGTGTTAACTATTTTTTGGCCTGTTTTCACTCAGGCAAAATCTCTGAACTAAGGTTCTGGAATTATGGGCGGAGATGATGGCAGTCTCTGTGAGTGACATCCCTGCTCTAGGACCCCAGTACTCAGTGAGTGAGAGCAAGAGTGAGCATGGCCCCAGTATTTCAGCAGAACACACCCATGGTAGAGTTCTGACCAAAGAGTGATGGTTAGGCAGAAGAGTATCCCCACTCCTCCACTGCACTCAGGCAGAACTTTGCCTCAGTAGCAGGTGGTTGGGATCAAGAATGGAAAGCAAGGATGTCCTGCTCCTCCTGGGAGGAAAGCCCTCCAACTGTGAACTGGGAGGAAAGGCAGCCCTGTGTTCTTGGAGGCAGCAGCGTGGAGTCTGCCTCACTGAGATGACAGGGAGTCGGGAGGAACTGGTCTTGGCTCAAGTACTATAAATTCTTGCCTTTATTACTGAATTTTCAGAGGTGTTCTTGAATAGATGTTTGTTCATTTGCTCTTTGTCCTTGGGATGATCTCTAGAGGTTTTACACGGTTGTTATTTCTTGTAGTTTTCAGCCATTTCAGTAGGAACAGGGGAGCATGGTTCTTCATGCTGCCACGCTGGAAGTCTATCACCTACTTTCTTACCTACTTTTGTTACAGACCACAGGCTCTTGGGGCCTTATGTAATGGAAATTTACATGGGCCAAGCGGATTTCTCAGATAAGGCTTTATTTCAGGGCTTGTGCTTCAGTGCAAGGGAAACAGCAGAGGTACAAGGATCCTCTGGTTGGCTCCTTAAAAAGCCAGTAGGGGCCGGGCACAGTGGCTCACATCTGTAATCCCAGCACTTTGGGAGGCTGAGGCGGGCGGATCACGAGGTCAGAAGATTGAGACCAGCCCAATATGGGGAAACCCTGTCTCTACTAAACATACAAAAATTAGCTGGGCGTGGTGGCGCGTGCCTGTAATCCCATCTGCTCAGGAGGCTGAGGCAGGAGAATCGCTTGAACCTGGGAGGCAGAGGTTGCAGTCAGCGGAGATCATGCCACTGCGCTACAGCCTGGTGATAGAGCGAGACTCTGTCAAGAAAAAAAAAAAAAAAAAAAAAAAAAGCCACTAGGGATTTTTTTAATTAGGCAAAGTGAGGAATTGACTTTGCTAGGAAAACGGGAGCATAGGAGAGCCAGAGTGACATCTTTCTTTTTTTTTGAGATGGAATCTAGCTCTGTCGCCCAGGCTGGAGTGCGGAGTTCAGTGGCGTGATCTCAGCTCACTGCAACATCCACTTCCCGGGTTCAAGCGTTTCTCCTGCCTCGGCCTCGCGAGTAGCTGGGACTACAGGCACGCGCCACCATGCCCAGATAATTTTTTGTATTTTTAGTAGAGACGGAGTTTCATCGTATTAGCTCGGATAGTTTCTATCTCTGGACCTCGTGATCCACCTGCCTTGGCCTGCCGAAGTGCTGGGATTACAGGCATGGGCCACCGCAGTGTCACGGCCGAGTGACACCTTTTTAAAAATCAACTCCATCTTAAAACTAGCAAGGCACATTCCTTGCCAGTCACGACCCACGGTCATATGATGTTTAAGACTGAGGAAGCAGCTTAATAATGCCTGCAAGGATAAACACCTGGGACAACTAAACACCCAGATGTCCCAATATTATTTAACAATATGCATTTTTTAAGTGATAATACTTATGCTTTGTGCTTATGCACTAAAATGCCAAGGATAACCTTCTTTAAATCAACAAAGTAATAAATTCTGTCATTCTGTGAGCCCACCCACATGCAGACATAATTTAGCTTAGCTTTTACATAGATAAGACCCCTATATAAGAAAAACTTAAAAACCCTGATGTTGCATTCCTCCTCTTGCTTTCTGAGAACACCCTACTCTGTAACTGAGTAGCTTTCAATAAACTCTCTCTTCTCACTGCACTCTATAACTCGCCTTGCATTCCTTCCTGCAGAAGATCCAAACTTCCTATCTTGGAGTCTGGATCAGGACCTCTTTTTCTGGCGACAACAACAGGGATAGGGTATGCAGGCTCTGCTAGGCAAAGCGGGTGAGGGGTAGGGCCTGCAGGTCGCTTATCTGGTTGTGATGGTTATCTTGAGTAATGGGCCACCTGGTGGTCTGGCCAATGGCAACAAGACTTTGAATCAGCGTTCCTTTCCTGGTTGGGCATTACTCATTATTGCAGTCACGTTCCACTCCACATCTCCCACACTCATGCCAGGGCAATTGTTAAAGGGCATTTTGTTCCTGACTAGCTTCCTCCTCCATTACCTTCATGTTCCTGGAATTTGTGACGCAAAAAACAATCTACAGCCAATCAAGAGCTTATGTTATTTTAAGGTAAGTTATTGGAAAACAACTTAGGAATGGCTTCTTCTTTTTTCTTTAAAAATCTACTTTGGAACTGCTGCTAATTGGAGTATATATTTAGGGAAACTGGAATCTGTGTTACTAGGTGGCTATTCTCAAGCTTTGAGCTAGAATATACTCTATAACTAATTATATTTTCTGAATCTCATTATTTAAGGTTAACATTTTCTATGTCTATACAATATTACTGAGTATAAATATGTCCAGACCTTATTAAAATAAAATATGGTTTTGATAAGCTTTTGAATTTCTTGTGTATTCAGATGTAGACTATTAATTCAATCATTTATTTCACAAAAAAATTATTAAGCACTTCTATATATGATAATACGGTAGTTTTCAGGGATAGGGGGCTAAATCCTGAGTCTTACCTTCCAGGAGATGTCAGTTTACCAGGAGACACATGCATGCAGACAGATAACTAAAGAAAGACTTAATAAAGGAGCTAGGAAAAGCTAAGTCTGAAGAATGGAAGAGAGTTTTAAAGGCAAGAAATATTGGGGAAGCCCACTGAAGTAGAAGCTAGAATAAACACTTTCTAGACAAGTTTCATGTGTCCAAGGATTGGATACAAAGTATGCCGAAAATGAAACCAGAAATATAGGTCAAGGCACGTTAATAAAGGATGCTGTGTCTTGATAAGGAGTTACAACATGATAGGTGCTTTTGGATAGAGAATAATTGGTAACAAGGAGACCAATGTAAAGGCTATCATATCAACCAACAATTATTTGAATTTGGACTAAAAATGTGGCTGTGTGGGTAGAAGATGGTGAAACCTACTTTTATAGTAGAAGTGGCTATTTTTTTGACTATTTGGCCACGGTGGTTTAGAGAAAGAGAACGTAAAACCAATGTAGGTTTCTGGCTTGCAAATCTAAGTAGATATTGTTGTAATTAACTAAATTATTAATGCAAGGCAGAGAATCTCATCTTGGAAGGAAAATAATGAATTCAGAATTAAACATGTTAAATTTGAGTAACCTAGATATTCCAGTGAAGATTGTAATACACTGTAGGTGACATGGATCTATGGTTCTAGACCAATGTGAAAGTGTGAAAGTGACAACAGGCAGACCTGGATTTACATTCTGGTTTTCTTTCTTTCTTTCTTTCTTTCTTTCTTTCTTTCTTTCTTTCTTTCTTTCTTTCTTTCTTTTTTTCTTTTCTTTTCTTTCTTTTCTTTCTCTTTCTTGCTTGCTTGCTTGCTTTCTTGCTTGCTTGCTTTCTTGCTTTCTTTCTTGCTTGCTTGCTTTTTCTTTTCTTTCTTTTCTTTCTCTTTCTTGCTTGCTTGCTTGCTTTCTTGCTTGCTTGCTTTCTTGCTTTCTTTCTTGCTTGCTTGCTTTCTCTTTCTTTCTTTCTTTCTTGCTTGCTTTCTTTCTTCTTTCTCTTTCTTTCTTTCTTCTTTCTTTTCCTTTCTTCCTTTCTTTTTTTTTTGACAGTCTCACTCTCTCACCCAGGCTGGAATGCAGTGGCATGATCTCAGCTCACTGCAACCTCTGCCTCCTGAGTTCAAGCAATTCTCCTGCCTCAGCCTTCCGAGTAGCTGGAATTACAGGCATGTGCCACCATGCCAGGCTAATTTTTGTATTTTCAGTAAAGACAGAGTTTCACCATGTTGGCCAGGCTGGTCTTGAACTACTGACCTCAGGTGACCTGCCTGCATTGGCCTCCCAAAGTGCTGGAATTACAGGCATGAGCCACTGCACCCGGCCTACATTCTGGTTTTCTTAAACAAGTTCTTTTAATTTCATTTTTAAAGTACAAGTAATATGAGCTACTTCACAGAGCTTTTAGTGGGCGATTAAATTAGAAGTGGACAGTGCTTCAATAAATGACAGCTATGATGCTATTTATTTTGTTTGTAATTGATATCTGATAATTGTTCATGTTTATAGGGTACAGGCTGGTGTTTCAATACATGACTACAATGTATAGTGATCAAATCAGGGTAGTTAGGATGTCCACCACTTGAAACCTTTATCATTTCTTTGTGATGATACTTTCAAGATCCTCTTTTCTACCTATCTTGAAACATAACAATACGTTGTTCTTAGCTATAGTCACCATACTATGTAATAGAACAGCGGTACTTATTCTCCCCATCTAAGTATTGATGCTATTTATTAATGAAGTCTGATTTGTATTAACAGAGATGAATTAAATCAACCAAAAAGAGTACATACAGGTTGAGTATCACTTATTTGAAATGCTGGTTACCAGAAATGTTTCAGATTTCAGGTTTTTTTCTGATTTGAGAGTATTTGATTTATACTTATAAGTTGAGCATCTGTAATCTGGATATCAAATTAAGGTTGAGCATCATGTCAACACTAAAAATGTTTCAGATTTGGGAGCATTTCCAATTTTGGATTTTCAGTTCAGGAACACTCAACCTGTAACGTGTCTGAAGTTAAATCCAAAGAAGTGCTTCTTGGTACCGTTTTGTGGTTTAACAGAATACTTCAACCTTAGGTCAAGCTTGATGCTTTAAGGTAGCAGACCAGGAGAAAATCTAAATAGAGTTTGAGATTTGTTTTGCCTTTTGTGCTTTTTGAGTGATTTTTTATGTATCATATCATCACATTCTCAAAGCCATTCTTTGAATGAGGTATGTTCACCCCAATTTTATACAATTTATGACTTGCCTGCCTAAAGTCAATCACAAAGTGTAGTTATGGAACTGAACGCTTAAGTCTGGCTTCTGGCTTGTAGCCTACAACTCTGCCATATCAAACCTGCCACTCAGCGGGCTCCACATTCATCGTCCTATTCTGTAACTGATCTTAGACCTCAATAAAAAAGCTCTATGAAAGAGGGCCTTTGCATGGCAGCTCTGACGTGTAACCTTTTTGGCTCAAAAGCACATTAGTAGTTTGTTATTCCCATTTGAAAAATGCCTTCAAGAAGGAGACAAGAGATCAAAACCAACAAGTAAATTAAGGTGTTAGGTGCACGATTCAATTAAATAATTTGGAAATATAGGTGATATTGTTTTTTTCAAAAGTCTGTGTTGGAATTCTAATGCTGTTATGACATTAAACCAATCAAATTGTAAAAAGGTTACTGTTCTCACCAAAAATTCAGCCCCCACACACTCAGTGCTGTCATAAATAATAGTTATCCTTATGGAAAAACTAACACATTTTGTTAGCTATAAGTCAATATGAAAAATAAAATTCAAAACGAAGCAAAAATATATGCTATAGACTTTTCTTCCTTCGACTCTTTCATCTCTTCAATAATCTAAATTTTTTCTTAGGTTTTTCTTGTTAATTGAAGAGTTAAAGCATATGAACAATATTTTGTCACCAAGTCCATGATGCATTTCTTGAAAACTTACTCCTCTAGTGACAATATTACTATCATGTGAACAATCAGTTTCTGCAAAATGAAATTTGTTTTTTACATGAGTTAATGGTGATATCTGCAGTTTTCCTCCTTTCAGGAACCTGAAAGCATTCATAAAAGTATCACTTTGGCTATTATAAGAACACTTTCTCCTCAAGTTAGTTTCTATTACTTATATTCCATGAAACAATGTCCCATGACATGAGAAGATGGGAACTTAATTCTGTTCAGGTACATAATTGCTGCAGTCCATGGAAAATAAGAGCAATAGATCTTGAGTTCATCTAAAAAGAGCAATTATGCATTAAATGATCCAGTTTATGCTGGACATCTGTAGCATATAGCTGTAATTAATCAAGAACCAGTAAATGTAAAAATATTACATATGAGGATAAGCATTCTCTGTCCCTTGTTTTTTTCCTATTCACTAAAAGAGAAAATGAATATCTTAGAATTAAGAGTAAATTATGAAAAGGTTTATTTGAAAGAAAATCTTGAATCTTCAAAGTTTTGAGATAAATAACCCTAAAGGAAACTGATTCTTGATAAAAACCTTTATGATAGGTCCAAATTGGAAGGAATGAGGAGAAAACATTTTATAATAATAAAGAGAAGAAATCAAGGCCGGGCGCGGTGGCTCACGCCTGTAATCCCAGCACTTTGGGAGGCCGAGGCGGGTGGATCATGAGGTCAGGAGATCGAGACCATCCTGGCTAACAAGGTGAAACCCCGTCTCTACTAAAAATACAAAAAAAAATTAGCCAGGCGCGGTGGCGGGCGCCTGTAGTCCCAGCTACTCGGGAGGCTGAGGCAGGAGAATGGCGTGAACCCGGGAAGCGGAGCTTGCAGTGAGCCGAGATTGCGCCACTGCAGTCCGCAGTCCGACCTGGGCGACAGAGCGAGACTCCGTCTCAAAAAAAAAAAAAAAAAAAGAAGAAATCAAAAAAGTAAATGGGGGAGAGAGGAAATTTCAGTTTAGCCATCATCCTTTGAGTAAAAGTTAAATGATCAAATATGATTCTAATATTCTGTACCTGTGCACTCCTAGGTAAAACAGTAAGGTATGCAAAAGATCCAGGAAAAACCCTCCAATATAATTCTCAAGATTATGTGCATTTTATGATAATATTGGTAAACTCCAAAAAAGTATAATTATATAGGTATAATTTCAGGTGCTCTGGCATCTGAACAGAAATGGAATTTAATCCAGTAAATGACTTTGGGGCACCTACTATCTTACCTGTACTGTTTCTACTGCTGGAAATAAAAAGATGAGTAATACCTGGTCCCTGTTCTGGATAAACTAAAAATCCAGGCAGTATTTTAGAGCACACCCAAAAACAAGCAAACAACAAAACCACAATAAACGACTGAAGTCATAATACGAATAAGTTATCATCACAACACAGAGAAATACATGCTTAACTTTTTAGCCTAGAGGAAACAGGAATGCAGATTAGTAAACAGCCTCTCAGAGGAAGTGAACTTGAGCTGGCATTTGACCAATGTAGAGTTGTCTCCAGGCAGGCCAGGGTAAGAGGTGGGGTTCTTTTAAGTCCCTCAGAGCCTCTGACACTCTTTGAAGTACTTAATGACATGAAACATATTTAAAATGTGCCCATTTATGCATAATCATATGAGTTGAATTACATTTGACAAGATACTACAATGTGCACTTTGTAGACATTAAATGCTCATCAACTCAATTTTGTGATTTAAAAATATATTTATTACAATAGTTTCTCCACTTTCCAACACTTCCTTACACTCTTGGAGAACTCATGTTCTTTCTGCAATATTCCCACGGTGCCTAATGGAAAACAATGGCTGAGGAGAAGGCATTCCAGCCACAAGGTCCAGCTTGAATCCAAGCTCTGGGAAGATGTATATTTAAGTAGAAAAGTTTTTTGGCCCATTTAGGCTGCTATAATACAATATCTTAGAATGAGTAGCTTATAAACAACAGAAATGTATTTCTCACAGTTCTGGAGGCTGTGAAGTCCAAGATCAAGGCTCTGGCATATTTGGTAGATATTGAGGGCCTGTTTCTGGTTCACAGATGACCTTCTTCTTGCTGTGTCCTCATATGGTGGAAGGGGTGAGGCAGCTCTTTGGGGTTGCTTTCGTAAAGGCACTAATCCCATTCATGAGGGCTTTACCCTCATTACCTAATCATCTCCCCGAAGCCCCATGTCCAAATATCATTGCATTCAGGGTCAGGTTTAGACATATAAATTTGGGGGGATCCAAGCATACAGTCTGTAGCATAAAGCCTCTCAAATCATAATATCACTGATTAACCCTGTGTAGGCATATAGAGTTCCACATTGTCATTGTCATTCTTTCCATCCTGTAGTCAGATGTCATCAGCAAAGTGCCTGAATGAGGATTTCTCTGAGAACATACTTCCCCACTAACTCTGTAATTGTGGATAACTACTTAGCCTCTTAAGTCTTTGTTGACTTGTGTGTAAAATAAGGATAGTACTGTAGTACTCTAAATGCAATGTATTTGAAGTTGCCTATGGAAGACTTTCTAGAGATGTAAGGCATTAGAGCAGCCACAATCATTCAGTGTTTTTTATTTACCACTCTTTTTAGATCCCAGGAATGGCAAAAGTACTTAAAATGTTTTCTGTACTAGAAAAACAGCATGTAATAAGAAAATGAGTAAAACTCCTCTCTTCTTTACTTTTAGAAAGAATTGAAAGAGAGCTTTTCTTTTAATAGAAAATACTTGAGAAATGTTGGCTTTCTTTGTGAATTATCATATGTAAAATCATACTTGACTAATAGCATGCAATATTTAACCTTAGCTCAAGCTGTCAGGAATTAGACTGATATCCTTCCCACAAATGTAGAGTGACAGTAATATGATCTGAGGCATTTGGGGCTTGGGAAGATAGCTAATGGTGTAAACATGTCAATTAAGTAAATATTTTAAAACATAAGCAGATTTTTTCTTTTTCTTTTTTTTTTTTTTTTGACAAGGTCTGGCTCTGTTGCTCAGGCTGGAGTGCAGTGGCATGATCTTTGCTCACTACAACCTTTGCCTCCTGGGTTCAAGCAATTCTTGTGCCTCAGTCTCTTGAGTAGCTGGGATTACAGGTGTGCACCATCATACCCAGCAAATTTTGGTATTTCAGTAGAGATGTGGTATTGTCATGTTGCTCAGGCTGGTCTTGAACTCCTAAACTCAAGCGATCCACCCGCCTCGGCCTCCCAAAGTGCTGGAATTACAGGCATGAGCCACTGCACCCAGCCGTTAGAAATATTTAAAATGTTGTGTAGGTTGTATATTTTTCAGGAAAAGTTCACAGTTGAAATATCTTACCTAATTTACTTATATATCACTAGCAACTTCTGGTTATTATAATTTAACACTAACAATCTCCATACATATTGAAGGGTAAATTTTGTTCTTTGCAGATGTGTTATTGTTGCTGGGGGTAGGTATTTGTTTTTTTGTTGTTGTTGTTAGGCATTTACTTGTGTTTTTGTCAAGGGGCTACAATTATGTGCTTCAGATACCAGAAAGCATTAAAAGATATACAGTGAGACATCTCTCTCCTGTCTCTGTCCCCTGCTTCCAAGTCTTCACCCCTCTCTTCCATCTTCTTAATCCCATTTTAGCCACACCCCACAAATAATCACCATTGTTAATGCTAACATTAAACACTTTGCTTAAAAAATTAAAATGTGACTGTTTAGTCATTTGTAGGAGGAAACTGATGGGTATTTTGTAGACTCAGAGAAATTACAGAAGCGAAATCTCAGAGAATTGAGGAAGGAAAGGGACTTAGATAACAAGTGAAAAGGCTGTGTCATTGTTCATGTCACTGTCTGAGTCTATCTGCTCTAACAAATTCTTCCCTGAAAAGCAGCTATGCAGTTAACCTTGTGTGTGCCTGCTGCTATAGCTTCTGTTTCTTCAAGGAAAATCCAAAACACTCTGTGTTAGTCTGTTTTCTCGTTGCTATCTAGGAATACTTGAGGCTGGTTAATTTATAAAGAAAAGAGGTTTTATTTTGGTTCATGGTTCTGCAGACTATACACAAAGTACAGTGCCAGCGTCTGCTTCTGATGAGGTACTCTGGAAGCTTACAATCATGGCAGGAGGCAAAGGAGAACATGCACATCACATGGCAAGAGAGAGAAGCAGGAGGTCCCATACACTTTATTTATTTATTTATTTACTTTTTGAGACGGAGTTTCACTCTTGTTGCCCAGGCTGGAGTGCAATGGCACAATCTCGGCTCACCACAACCTCTGCCTCCGGGGTTCAAGTGATTCTCCTGCCTCAGCCTCCCGTGTAGTTGGGATTGCAGGCGTGTGCCACCACATCTGGCTACTTTTTGTATTTTTAGTAGAGACCGGGTTTCTCCATGTTGGTCAGGCTGGTCTCGAACTCCTGACATCATGTGATCCGACCGCCTCAGCCTCCCAAAGTGCTGGGATTACAGGCGTGAGCCACTGCGCCTGGCCACACTTTTAAACAATCAGATCCTGCGTGGACTCAGAGCATGAGCTCACTCATTACCAGGGGGATGGCACCAAGCCATTCATAAGGGATCTGCTCCCGTGTTCCAGTGCCTCCCACGAGGCCCCACCTCCAACACTAGGGTCACATTTCTGCCTGAGATTTGGAGTAGACACACATCCAAACCATATTAAGTCTGAAAATTGATAGATAAGGATATGCCCTGCCAAATTCATGGCATTGTAAAATTTTCTTCCAGGAAGTAATGTCATCATTCTGTCACCACCTTTTTATTTTGTAGTTAAGGAAACAGAGCTCGTAGGCATTTTTGGGACTTCCAAAGTTTCTATTTCCTTCTTTCTAATAAATGGATATTTTGAAATAATTATATGATAAATTTGATCACCTCTACAAGCTAAGAATAATCAATCTAATTTAAATATTCTGCAGTGATATTGTAAAAACATATTTGTTGAATGAAATTAATAGTTATGTATCAGGATCGATCAACGTTAATAAATCAAGGCAAAAAATATTTGTCAGGTTTCTTTGGAATAAAGTACATATAAATCGAAACACTGTTCATTTATTAGAAAGACCTATTTGCATTATATTATTGACTGAGTTTTGTTGGTTTCATAACTTCTTCCTTATTCCATTCACTCTTGGTTTGAAAAATTATTTCTTACTCCAATCAGAGAGCATTTTGATTTGTATCTGTCCCAGCACCTGCCACAGAGCCTGACACATAGCAGGTGCCAAATAAATATTTATTGACATCTAGACCAATTATATATATTACAAAATTATTAAAGTATTATTTGTTATTTTTCATGGGATATTTAACATTATTTGTTACTATAAAGGGTTTTTTATACAAATTTATTGTTTATTTGCTGTAAGAAAATAAACTAGAAAATGTTATAAAATATTATTCTGTTTCATAATTTATTAAATATATAACACAATTAGAAAATTATGAAAATAAGTAATTAATAACCTTGCCAGAATGAGTTCATCTCACAAGGCATCATGCTTCTTTGTTTGAGATTTTTCACAGAAAAGTGGGGAATGAGTGAATCATAGACAAGTTGCAGCGTATTTTCCCAAACTTATCTTGTGGTTTTTAATTTTCAACAAAACTTTCTTCTCATGTCATTACCCTCCATCTTTATCACCTACAATCCTACTGCCACATCAACCAAATGAACCTCCCTATCCTGTCTTCACTGTTTATCCATCTCGTACTCTGTCTTGAAGTTTCCAGTGAAGTCCTCCCTTCTCCAGGAAGCCTCTCCTCCACCTCTCAGCCTGCAGTGAACTCTTTGCCCTGGATTCTCACGGTAGCGATAACACTCATTGCACACTTAACCTCCCTTATGTTTTGCCATTATTGCCTACGTTTCTTGTGCATACATTCTAGTCAGATTGATTTCAAGAATTTCAAGAGTAAGAAAAACCACCACGTTATCTCAGATCAACCCTGGGACTTGAGAATGTATGGGAAACTGGGGCTCACCAAGAGGGGGTAAACGAATGGCTCACATTCACAGGTTTGCATGGCAGGAATGAATATATCTCTCATTCCTCAGTGTTTTTACTTTCTTTCTGTGTACCTAGAGAGTAGGGTCTTTGCATGTCTTTCTATCCACAACAAGGCTAAGTATGCTGCCTTACATAGAATGCATTTGGGGTTCTTCATTACTGTTGTTTTGTTTTAAACTTGATGTAAAACATATAGTCTACTATAGGTTTTAAGAAATATTGGCTCAGTGCTTCGATATAGGAGCATTTGTGCTGGCATGCATTCATATTGTAAAGCAGCACTTGCTTTTTGGAGGCTATTTGGCAACAGTCTATTCCTGTGTTTGACAGGCCCGTCATAACTGACTCATTGGGCAAAACAAATTCTATGTTTAGACAAATAAAAAAGAGGGGAGAAGCTTAGAAAGTTGAATTAATTTACCCTTATCAAAAGCATAAGGACACATTATGTTTACTTATTCCTCCCTCACTACCCTACCTAGCAAAAGAAACCAGATATACACACACACATATGCGCGTGTGTGCACACACACACACACACATACATACATAGAATGGACTAAATGTTTGTTTTGCTTCACAATTCATATGTTGAAAACCTACTTCTCAGTGTGATAATATTTGGAGGTAGAGTCTTTGGAAGGTAATCCTAGCTACTCAGGAAGCTGAGGCAGGAGAATCACTTGAACCCAAGAGGTGGAGGTTGCAGTGAGCTGAGATGGTGCCATTGCACTCCAGCCTGGGTGACAGAGTGAGACTCTGTATCAAAAACAAACACACAATCAAAAAAAAAAAAAGAGCTCCTTAAAGTTGTTGGAGGTATGGCAGACTCAGCAGGAGTCTCATTTTCCCCTCACTGTCCTCACTTGGGTTCTCTGCCCATTGCTCAGTCATTATCATGCATCTCACATCACCTAGCCTCAAGGTCTTATCTCTCAGCCTCACAGTGATTGGTCCAGCAGGTAGTGGGGCTTCCCATGTCTTTTCCCATCATCCATAGGAAGAGCTGTAACTGCCCCAGTGGTAGTGGAAGACTCCCGCTTAGACCAGGAAGTGATGGAGAAAGCAATTTTGGCGACTGATTCTTTCTTCCACGCTCTGCTCCCACAGCAGCCCTAGGGGATGCTGTGATTACTTGGATCAATGTAATTATGACTCGTGCATCCCTCTTTCTTAGGACAAAGTTTGTAAGTCTCTGACCTTTCCTATTCTCTGGGTTACAGACTAATAGCAAGAAAAGTGACAATGATGATAATTAACATTTGTTAGAACTTACTAGGTGCTAGATAATAAGCACATGTTTTACATGTAACTCATTAATCTTCGTAGTTCCATGAGGTAAATAGACAGTCATGTGCTTCCCATCAATGTTTTGGTGGAAGACAGACTGCATAAATAAAAGTGGTCTCATAATATTATAATGCAGCTGAAAACTTCCTATGGCTTAGGGACACTGTAGCTATCCTAATGTCATTGTGAAACACATTACTCACATGTTTGTGGTGATGCTGGTGTAAACAAGCCTATTGTGCTGACAGTAATGTAAAAATACAGCACATATAGCATATCTATGTATAATACATAATACTTGCTAGTGATAACAAACAATGTTATTACTGGTTTATGCATTTACCATACTATTTATTATTATTATAGAGTGTACTCTTTCTACTTAAAAAACGTTAACTATAAAACAGCCTCAGGCATATATTTCAGGGAGTATTCCAGGAGAAGGCACTGTTTATGCAGGAGATGACACTTCTATACATATTATTACCCCCAAGGACCTTCCAGGTGGGACAGGATGTGGAGGTGGAAGACAGTGAAATTGGTGATTCTGACCCTGTATTGGCCTAGATCAATATGTGTGTTTGTGTCTTAATTTTCAACAAAAGCAATTCAAAAGTAAAAAATTTAAAAATGAAAAATTTTAAAAAGAAAAAAAAAGCTTGTAGAATAAGGATATAATAAAAGAAAACATTTTTGGACAGTCGTACAATGTATTTGTGTTTTAAAGCTAAGTGTTATTGCAAAGGAGACAAAAATTTAGAAATCAAACATTTATATAGTAAATCATTACAGTGAGCTAAGGTTAATTTATTAATGAGGAAAGAAAAATATTTTTGAATAACGTAGTCTGGGTATACAGTGTTTATAAGGGCTACAGTAGTGTACATTAATGTCTTAGGCCATTGCTCACCACCCACTCATGGACTCACCCAGTGCAACTTCCAATTCCGCAACCTCCTTTCATGGTCACTGCCCTATATAGGTGTACTATTTCTTATATACTATACTTTTACTGTACCTTTCCTATGTTCAGACACATGAATACTTTCATTGTGTTACAATTGCGTATAGCATTCGGTCCAATAACATGCTGTGCGATATTGTAGCCTAGGAGCAACAGACTATTCATTCCATATAACCTGGATGTGTAGGAGGCTCTACCATCTAGGTTTGTGTAAGTACACCCAAGGATGTTTGTCAACAACGAAATCACCTATCGATGCATATCTCAGAATGTATTCCCATCAAGAAGTGACATATGACTCTGTTATTCCCATTTCTCAGTTAATGACTTTGAGGCCCTCAGTAGTTGAGCAATTTACCCAAATTCACAGCTTAAAAGTGGTGAAGGCAGCATTCAAACTCTATCTGCCTCTAGAATTTGTATTCTGAACTATGAGTTCCAGTGGCCTCTCATAATGTACATTCCATAGTAATAATAACAAACAATCAATGACACTATAGATACCCATTGGTAAGTCCCATGCTTTGAGTAGTTTTTCAATGAGTTGAATGGGTTGCACTGAATTAAATTATTTGCTCTCTCCCCTGGTTCCTCTAAATAGGAGCACCCTTGCGGGGCTGGCTAAATGGAACTGGAAATGTAATCTGTAGTTAGGAAACATTAGGGGGTTCTTGTTTGTTGTTAAATCTAAGATAACTATTTATTAATAGCCTTTTGGGGATGTTTGAATGTTTATAAAGTATTATTACAATCAGAGTCCACTTCAAAGTATAATCGAGAGTTCAAATGATTTCCTTCTTCCTTAACCTTATAATACAAAAGGGAATTCACTCCATTTCTGCAAGTAGAAAATCTGAAATTTAGTTATAGGAAAGAAGAACATGAAAGTGCAAATGTGTTTTTTTTTTTTTCCTTTCCCTTTGAAATCCATCACCTTCCTTTACCATGGAGACAAAAGATTATTATAATTTTTTTCTAAGATTATTAGAATTTATTTCATGTGCAATACTTCCTGGCTTTAATATCTCATAAATTTGAAATGTTCTGAATTTCTATGGCTTAGTTGTTCTTCAGGAAGTATTTATCTTTCTGTTTGTTTGTTTTTCTTAGCACATTTAGAAAAAGAAAATATTTGTACTCTCATTTGTCATGTAACAGTTCCCAAGCATTCCAATTTATTCTTCAGAATCTATTAGTGTGGAGTTGAAAGCCTTATCATTTTAGGGACATTTTTAAGCTTTCCTATTTTTCTCTCCTGGCACTTTCTAAAACTTCTAGAGTTAACTTTAACATTGCATTTCTGAAATTTAATGAAAACCATTTTGTCTTGGATATTACCACAAGAAACACATTTAGTGACCAATGTACATGTTTTCACCCCCACTACCTCATTAATCTAGAATAATCAGGGAAGAAATAATCTGAATAAGAAATTTTCCAGAAATTAGGAATTTGCAAATTTAAATATTCAAAATGTGGAAAATATATATGGTTGACAAATATTTTCTTGCTTTAAAAAGAATATGTGAAGCACAACCTAACCACGTTTGTTATTTTTGTTTCAGTAGGAGTATAAATTATTATGGAGTACTGCAATAATACAACAGCTATTTTCTCACTGGTAAAACTCCTTCTCACCTTAAATTCAACAAGTTTATTCAACACATGTCTTTAATGAATGCCTATTATATTTGACACTCTGCCAAGTGAATGACGACTTATGAAAACAGCACTCATATAAAAACATGGACCATCACCAGTACCCCTAAAACCTCCCCCAATGGCTTCTCCCAATCATCAACCCCACCGCCTTCCCATTGCTATCTACTCTTTGACTTCCTACATCATATGTTAGTTACTGTCCTTTGTAAATGAAATAATATGTATTCTTTTGTATCTTGCTTTTTGTTTAACATTATATTTGTGAAATTCATTCATCTTGTGGCATTTTGCAGCAGTTTTCATTGTGAATGAATATGCCAAAAATTACTTATCCATTCTATTTGTTCATGGGCATTTTGGCCTGTTTCTAATTTGAAGTTATAGAAAGAGTGCTGTTTTAAATATTCTTGGACTTGCCTTGTGGTAAACATATGTATGCATTTTTTGCTAGATATTTATCTAAGAAAAGAAGTGCTACGTTTTCAGATGAACGTATGCTTAGCTTTAATACAAAAGGGTCACATCATGTAGTCTCAAACACCTTTATAGAAATCTCACATGATACTTCTGAGTATGTGTATCTCATTGTCCATAACCCAGCTGAAGGCCACATACCTAGCTTCAAGAAAGGGAAGGCAGCAATGGATTTTGGCTGGATCCATTCCCATCCTTAATAAAATCTGAATTCTGACACCAAGAAAGAAAGGGAGTATTGGTAATGCATGAAAAGCACAGGTCTCTGCCACACTAACTCTCCGTCAGCCCTTGCCATCTCAGGAAACAGAACTCTTGTCCACTTTGTGTTCCAGTAAAATATCCCAGGATCATTCTTCTCTCCTCCTACCCCCTTCCAGTCTATCAGCAAGTCTTCTTAGTTCTATTTCCCAAATACATCTTGACTGTATCATCTTCTCTCCTCCTCTGCTATCCCCTTAACATAAGCCACATCATCTCTTAGATAGACGCACTATTGCAGCTGCTTCCTGTTGGAGCTCTTTTGATCCAGTTTTGCTCCCCCACCATCCTTATAGCAATCAGTGTGGTTTGGTTTGGTTTTGCCTTCCTGTTTGGGGGGTTTATTTCCTTCCAATAACGCGACATTAGTTCCCTATCTAAAAGCTTTCAATGGCTTCCTTTTGTACTTAACAGTAAAAATTCAACTTCCTAACACTGGCCCTCGTGAACATCTACATGTTCATTCCATTCTCATCCTCTGCTTCAGCTACAAAAGCTTCACATACATCAAATTCTTTCCCACTTCGTGATCTTTGCCCCAGAACATACTGCTTCCAAGTTTTATGGTTTTGTTTGCTCATTTTGTTTGCAGTTTGTCTCCCACCATGGGAACGTAGGCATTGTGAATGTAGGGCTTGTCTGAGCTCTGTACCCAAAGGGACCAGCCTAAACCCTTGTGGTGGTGAACAATGTTGAATGAACAAATGCATCTCTTATTTGTGAACCTATGAACAATTTTGATTTCTTATTATGGCTTATACTCTATTCTAAATATTCTCAATATTCTTTAGCAAACATGGATTGCTCTTGAATGTTAAAAAGGTTTAATTTAGTGACTACGTTAAATAATTTGCCGTGTATAATTTTTAAGTCTGAAGTTAATTAATTAGTAATGTCAACTAATATTTTGCAGCAGCACCTAGAATACTTAATATATAGTGTAGGAACATCAGGTAACAAACAAATCAACCCACATTATAACTTCGAGGAACTTGTGATTCTGAAATGAGAGCTAAGAAATAAACATAGCTATCTATATTCTAATCCAGACTTTTTAAGTTCTAGAAAAGGTACATAAGTTAAACGTGAGTGATTACTATATAATTTTTTCTCATTAAATGTTGTTATAATGGGTCTCAAAATTCTGTGGCAGATTTTTGATCAAGTTGTTTCCATTAAAAATTACTCACTTTAAAAGCTAATAACTTAAAACTGCCCCATGCAGAAAAGGCCAAAATAGTCCACAAAACATTCTTCTTTTCTTCTAAAGGTTTTATGGTGCGTTGTTATCATTACCCAGTTTTTTACTATTAAACTTAAATGGCCAATTGAAACAAAGAGTTCTGAGACTATTCTTGTACCACTTATTAAGACTGTGATGGCAGGTGTTACGGATAATTTCATTTAGCCACACAATATGGTTTGGATTTGTGTCCCTGCCCAAATCTCCTGTGGAATTGGAGGAGGGGCCTGGTGGGAGGTGACTGGATCATGGAGGTGGATTTCCTCCTTGCCGTTCTTGTGCTAGTGAGCGTCCCTTGTGCAGCTGTTATGTAAAGTAACATAACAATTCCATTCAGGTATTGGAATGTTAATACCATTCAGGTATTCAAGGCGATACCATTCAGTACATAGGAATAAGCAAAGATTTCCTGATGAAGATGCCAAAAATTATCTCAGCAAAAGCAAAAATTCAAATTGTTGCTTGATCTTACAGCAAATATTTCTCCATCTTATTTCATGTTTTGTCATTATTTACCCTAAAAGCAAATCTAACATAAAAATAAGAAAAGAATTAAAAAAAAAAACATAAAAACAAATAACAAAGAAAAACACCACTCTCTGAAGCAAGTTCCCAAGTATGCCTGCAATTGCTGTCTAGATACTAGGAAGGTATTTTCCAGCACTTGGTCTGACTCCGCAATGCTGTTCAGCTTACTTCAGGGAAAATGAGCAGCTTATTTGATATATGCTGGATTAATCTGCCTTTTCTACAGGATAACATCCTCAGGGAAAGGCACCATTCAGAAATCAAAGCTGAAAAACTTTAAGACTTCCAAAGAACACTAGAGATACGGTATAACTGAAGTTAAAAAGAAACATTTAATAGCCTTAGTTTATCTTAAAAAATAAATGCCTCATGACATTGAAAGATGTTTAGTAAGCTGTTTATTGAAAAGAACCAAGATAAATATTATGTATAGTGTGACAAAGTCTATAAATGTTATGGTGCTATTTAAAATTACTTTGATAGGCATCCAAATGGGAAAAGAGGAAGACAAACTATCTGTGTTTGCAGAGGACCTAATTCTATATCTGGAAAACCCCATAGTATCTGTCTAAAAGCTCCTTTAGCTGATAAACAACTTCAGCAAAGTTTCAGAATACAAAATCAATGTACAAAAATCAATAAAATTCCAATACACCAACATCCAAGCCCAGAGGCAAATCAGGAATGAAATCTCATTCACAGTTGCTACAAAAAGAATAAAATACCTAGGAATACAGCTAACCAGGGAAGTGAAACATCCCTAAAATGAAAAATATACAACACTGCTCAAAGAAAACAGAGATGACACAAACAAATGCTCATGGGTAGGAAGAATCAATAATGTTAAAAATGGCCATATTGTCCAAGGGAATGAAGAGATTCAATGCTACTCCCATCAGACTACCAATGGCATTTCTTCTCAAAACAAGAAAAAACTATTTAAAAATTCATATGAAACCAAAAATTCATATGAAAAAACTATTTAAAAATTCATATGAGCCTGAATAGCCAAGACAATACTAAGCAAAATGAACAAAGCTGGAGGCATTACATTACCTGACTTCAAACTGTACTACAGGGCTACAGTAACCAAAACATCATGGTACTGGGAGAAAAACAGACACATTGACCAATGGAACAGAAGAGATGGCCCAGAAATAAAACTGCACACCTATGACCATCTGATCTTTGACAAAACTGACAAAAACAAGCAATGGGAAAATGAATTCCTATTTAACAAATGGTGCTGGGGATAATTGGCTAGCCAGATGCAGAAGACTGAAACTGGACCCCTTTATTATACCATATACAAAAGTCAACTCAAGATAGATTAAAGACTTAAGTGTGAAACCCAAAACTATAAAAACCCCTTGTAAATAGCCTAGGCAATACCATTCAGGATGTAGGAATGAGCAAAGATTTCCTGACGAAGATGCCAAAAACGATTGCAACAAAAGCAAAAAATGACTAATGGAATCTAATTAAACCAAAGAGCTTCCACACAGCAAAAGAAACTACCAACAGAGTAAACAGGAAGCCTACAGAATGGTAAACAAATTTTTGCAAACTGTGCTTCTGACAAAGGTCTAATATCCCGAATCTACAAGGAACTTACACAAATTTACAAGCAAAAGCAACCCCATTAAAATGTGGGCAAAGAACATGAACAGACACTTCTCAAAAGAAGACATACAAATGGCCAATAAGCATATAAAAGGAAAGCTCATTATCACTGATCATCAGAGAAATACAAATCAAACCACAATGAGATACTGTCTTACATCAGTCAGAGTGGCTATTATTAAAAAGTCAAAGATGCTGGTGAGGTTGTGGACGAAAGGAAACCCTTATACATTGTTTGTGAACGTATAAATTCATTCAGCCATTGTGGACAGCAGTGTGGAGATTCCTCAAAGAGCTAGAAACAGAATTACCATATTACCTGGCAATTCCATTACTGGGTGTATAACCAAAGGAATATAAATTGTTCTACCATAAAGACACATGCACTTGTATGTTCAATGCAGTGCTATTCACAATAGCAAAGACATGGAATAAATCTAAGTTTCCATCAATGGTAGACTGGAAAAAGAAAACATAGTACATATACACAATGGAATGCTATGCAGCGATAAAAAGGAATGAGATCATGTCCTTTGCAGTAACATGGATGGAGCTGGAGGCCATTATCCTTAGCAAACTAATGCAAGAATAGAAAAGCAAATACTGTACATCCTCACTTACAAGTGGGAGCTAAATAATGAGAACACGTGGACACATAGAGGGGAACAACACACACTGGGTCCTACTTGAGGGAGGAGGGTGAGAGGAAGGAAAGGACCTGAAAAAAGTAACCATCCAGTACTATGCTTAGTACCTAGGTGACAAAATAATATGTATACCAAACCCCCATAACACCAATTTACCTATGTTACGCACCTGCACATGTACCTCTGAACCTAAAATAAAAGTTAAATAAATACATAAAATAAAGAAAATAAAAATATGTTGACTCCTTTTGCTCTTATTTTCCTATTTACTTCTTGAGAAGTATTTGTAGTTATAGTTTTATTAATAAGAGGCATCCTCAGAATTCTACACATGAACTACTTAATAAATGATAGTTACCATTTATTGTGCAAACACAGTAATGTGCAAAGAAATCTAGTCACATTTTTCCTATATCCTTTATAAAGCCTGATCCTGCCTCAGTTCACCTTGGGTATTTAGTACATATTTGTTTATTTTACTACATTGTTGGGAAAACATTGTATTGAGAACTATAAATGAAACACTAATTCTCAATTCAATCACTTATTAACACTTATTAAATGGAATACCTTGGACTGGTTTTTCATAGATTATGTAACTGCTAAAGTTCCCCCTGGCTCTAAGTACTTTAGTTTTAGTATTGTCTCTCCTTCTCTTTCCTTCCCTTCCCTCCCTCCCTCCCTTCCTTCCTTTTCTTTCCTTTCTTTTTCTTTTTTTCTCTTTCCTTCCTTTCTACGTCTATATAGCATACATTCCCCTTCTTAGACCATAGTCATCCACTTAACCATTATTTGTTGAAGGCTTACCACCCAGTCTTCCAGTGTAATTCAGCAATATCAAAAAAGTCTTTGCCTTCTCATGGATTTAGGGTTTGTAGTTCCTTGAGATAAGACTCAGTCTGATCCATTCTTACATTTTTCCATGGTGTCTGGAAGAGGGCATTTGCCTTTTAGACAAAAAAAAAACCAACAAAAAAAACCCTGAATTAATGAAGTGAACTTTTCACTACTTCAGATTTTAAAATGCAGTCCTGTTTTTGATAAATTATACTTAAAGGAACACCAGGTGGCCTCAGAGAGATTGAACCAAGGAGACAAAATGTAGATAATTATAGGCAGTTACCTTTTTCTAAATGTGTTCATCTTCCATAGAAGTTTAATTTTCACAAATTATACATCTATGTCCTTTAAATGACCTTCAGAATTCTGATTTCAGACTTTCATAAGCAGCGGACGCACATTTTAAGCTATCACAAAAAAGAACTCTTCTTTGGCTATTCCCTTTTAATGACATTACCATTTATGTGCACCAGAGTTTTTATACTTATTTTAATCTTATTGCATTTTGTCCTTATTGCTTGACAAAAAATATGAAAACTGAAAAACAAAACATGCTGACTTGGCTGACAAGAACTATAGCTCTCATAAACCTAATACATTTTAAATAGCAGTGGAAAATTTTTAAAGTTTTAAATATATATATATATATCTTAACCAGATTCTGATTAGATTTAAGTAGGTCTACCCTGTATTTGGTTGTTAAATTAAAACAAAAAAAAAACCAACTTTAATATGTATAAAATGTTGGAATTTTATCATGGAAGATTAAATGTAACAAAAAGAGGTTGCCTTTTTTTTATTTTTTCTTTAAACTCTCTGGGAAGAGAAACTCTTCCCATATTTGACTATTATCTGATTAATGTGAATGAGACTTTCACACACATTTTCAAAAATGCATTTGATATGAAAGTAGATCTATCCAACAGGGGTCTCTGGTAGCCAATTAGTGGTGGTATGCTCTGTTTTATTTCTCTCTTTGTTTTTCTTTTCTTCTATCTCCTTGTTTTTCTGCGTTTTCTCTACTTATGCGTTAGGCTTGCTAGTGACACCTAGAGGTATCTGCAGGCATGACATACCACAGGTTAGAAGAGTTGGTTGATCTCTACTATGAATTTTAAATAATGAGAGGTTTTGGAACCTATATGTTCTCTTTTGTCCCATTTTTACAAATGCTACAGAGAGTTTGAAGACATTTGATAATTTTTAAAATGCTTGGCTCATTCAGCATGGCATAGTGGAAAATGTGTGTGTGTGTTTGCACTGGATTAAAAACGTGGCTCTGTCATTGATCAGCTGCATAACTTTGAGCAACATATTCACTTAAAAAGTTGGGTTCCACATTTATAAATTGTGTATTAAGATACTGATCACTTAAAATTTTTGTGAGAATCAGATATATGTATATGAAGCACCTGAAATATAGTAGATGCTAAATAAATGGGTTATTATCATGATGTGAATTATAATGTTCATATTTTCTATTACACTGGATTAAATTATTTTTACATTTAAAACATGGGTAAAATTAAATGAAATTGAAGATTGCTCCCTCAAGAAAACCTTGAAAATTGAAAGCAAAATTGACTATCACTTCATATTTTTATCTGATTTTTAAGAAAGTGTTAATAAATTCCTAAATGTTTAACAGTGGTGCCTTGGGTGTCAGTGACAAAAGCTCAAATAATTAAGACAGTGGATAAATTAACTGTGAAAGAAGATCTCTTCCTTAAAAATAAGACAATGAACAAAATGTTTCTAGATTTTCTCATAACTCTGAGACACCAAAATGGTACTGAATCATGACCACTCTCCTTATCCTTACTAACTGAAAGGAGAAAATGTTCAGTAACAGTGGAATTCAAAGAATTTACATCTCAAAATTAAGCAGCAAGAACTGCTGAATGTCTGCTTCTTCCCACTGATCCAGCTTTAAAAAGGCCTTATTTAAATCCTCGGGAGAAAACACAGGGGAACCATTAAAACAAACAAAAATCAACAGCCGAGGGAATAATTGAATTGTTTCATTTCTTTGTTTATTGTTTATATATGTATATATATTTTTTCTCCCCCCCCAGTTTTTTTTCTTCTCTATCCTGGATAGCGATTTCTTTTCCCAACATCTCAAAACTTTGCCTCCCCTCTTTTTTTTTTCATCCTCTTTCATGATAGTTTTCATTTATGATTCATCTTTTGATTCCACACTCTAAGATATAAGGGCAATTTGAGAACATCTTGAGCTGAGTACCAACTTTATTAAATAGATAAAAATATGAGCTCTGGAAAACAAATTATGGACCTGAAAACTGTTGGTATTTTAAAAAGCAGTGGGCATATATAGAGGAAAGAGCACATTCTGTACTAGGGTTTCTCTCAAAGGCGATAGGGTTACATATTCAGTAATGGATAGAGCAAGAAGTGAAGACACCAGAAGGGGTTGACTGTATATTTCCATTAAAGTGAATTACATGAGCAAGTTAACAGAGACAGAAAGAATACAGGTTTAAACTTGATGACTTGGGTTAAAGGCAGGTCATCAAGTTTCAGGGCTACTGGAGAAGATCCACGAAATGTGGGCAGTACCGAAACCTGCTTTGAAAGACAGTCTAAGGAGGCTGAACTCTAGTGAAGAGCATAACATCTCGGAGAAAATAATTTTGGCGACAAAATGGAGAAAGGATGGTAGGAAGAGGTATAACTTACTCATTGTAACATTCCAAGCCTGAGATTTCAAGTGCCTGAAATAATAAATTTGGGATGCTTATCTAAGCACTTAGTATTTCTGATATAAAATAATACTGCATTTCTAGTTGCAGTAGAGTTTACCATGTGGTTCTATATTATTTCATTTTTACAACCACCTTCTGAACTAAGGAAGGAATTGTTATTTTTGCTTTACAGAGGAGAAATGTGATGCTCAGAGGGTGTGGCTGACAAGCTCCAGGACACAGGTAATAAGTAAAATCTAGATCTCGGGTCTTTCAATTGAAACTAGAAACATAGGAAACAACAACAGAAGTCACAACAATTTAACAGTTATTTAGAGGTGTCAGTGATTTGGGATTTAAAAATATGGAATTTAACATTTCTGGTTTCAAAGTCAATACACAGCTTCCATATGACACTATAGAGTAAGTAAAAAATAAAAGATAATTTATCTGATGTATCGTTAATTGTGCTTTAATAATTCTCATGTTATTGGCTTGGGATTATAATTGGAAATTATATCTGAAAGTAATAAAATTATAGTTGATGATAGAATGAGACAGTCTTTACCCACCTTTCCAAAATTCAGATGGCTTTCCAAATTTTATTTTTAAAATGTCCACCAAATAATTTTTTAAAAGATTAATAGGTTCTCACAGAGCACAAATACATAAAATAATGGCTGCCTTTTGAAAGATTACATTGTTTTCATATATCTCATTAGTATTTGAGGAGAAATTAGGACTTGTATTTTCTCACAAAATGTGAAGGGAAAGACTCTAATAGCATTTTAAACCACCAAAAGGGCATGATTGATTATTATACTCATGTGGTTGAATTTCTCTAAATTTTGCTTTTTAATGAATCTTTAAATTATAGTGTTAATAGTTACACTTGTTAATTTCAATAGACTATTTTCTGTAATAGAAGAAGAATAAACATGTAGCATAACTAAAGAAAAAAAAAGAAAATCAAGTGAAATGGAAGAGTAAATGATAAATTCTCCAGTCTCTGTTCATCTCATCCAGTCTTTGTTAATCTCATGGTTGAGACCAGAAAGTTGCATGTCAGTCATTTGGTGTGTACTACATATACTCTGACTTAAAAGATATCTGGAATGATACAGCATCGGATTGTTCCTTCTAACACTTAAGTGTCCTTGATACATAGAAAAGAGAAGAAAGTGCCAATCAGGCAGATTAAGACCTTTACTTACAAATGATTCATTTCCGTGCTTGCTTAATTTCTAAAAGTAGGTATCTGGGTGTTGTCCAACAAAATGAATGGAAAAATCCCAGCCTGCATGATATGTACATGTGAGACTGAAGTCACCTGATAACTGGGTCAAGAATTCATGTTACACACTGAAGGATGCACTTCAAACACAGGCTTATACTTTACACAGCTTAAAAATAATAGTTAATAAGAAAACAACTTTTGAGAAGGGCTAATTTGCTTTGTAGTCAATTCCATCCAAATATGTACATAATAGTTTATATATGTGTTTATAAATGTTATAAAAGTTGAAGAGATATCCTAATTTCCCACTGGTTTGTTGACCACATCTTTATTCCCAGAACCTATGAATATCTTACTTTACATGGTAGAAGGGACTTTGTAGACATTAATTTAAGCACCTTGAGATGGATGATTCTGGATTATTTGGATAGGCATGATATAATCACAAGAGAGAGGGAGGAGAATCAGAGTCAGTAGAAGAAAGTGTAACAATGAGAGCAAAAGCCTGGAGCTATGCAAGGTTCAGGCCACGAGCCAATGGATGCAGGAAGCCTCCAGAAGCTGAGAAAAGTAAGGAAAATGTATTCCCCCAGAGAAGAAATGCAGCCCTGCCAATATCTTGCTTTTTCCCTGGAGACCCATTTTGGACTTCTGACCTCCCACCAGACTAGTAAGGTAATAAATTCATGTTGTTTTAAGACACAAAGTTTGTGTTTATTTATTTATTTTAGAGACAGGCTCTCGCTCTGTCCTGCACGTTGGAGTGCGGTAGCACACTCATAGCTCATTGCAATCTCGAACTCCTGGGCTCAAGCCATCTTCCTACGTTAGGCTTTCTAGTAGCTAGGACTACAGGCTCATGCCACCATGCCCAGCTAGCTTTTTATTTGTGTTATTATTATTATTACTATTATTATTATTATTATTATTATTATTATCGTAGAGATAGGCTTTTGCTATGTTACTCAGGCCGGACTCCAGTTCCCCAGCTTCAAGCAATCCTTCTGCCTCGGCCTCCCAAAGAACTGGGAATACAGGTGTGAGCCACCCTGCCAGACCTGTGGTAATATATTACAGCAGCAATAGGAAACATACTGAAAGTAAGATTTCCAAATAAATGTATAATAATCACATAACTTTGCTATAATTATCTTAACCATTTCTGTATTGTTCAACTTTTAGCTTGTTTCCATTTTTTTCTATTATAAATAGTGCTGAAGTGAATATCCTTATGTATAAATCTTGGCATACACTTCTGATTTATTTTCTTTAGATTAAAAAACTGGAAATGGCTTGGAGCAGTGGCTCACACCTGTAATCCCAGGACTTTGGGAGGATGAGGCAGGCAGACTTGCTTGAGCCCAGGAGTTTGAGACCAGCCTAGGCAACACGGTGAAACCCCGTCTCTACCAAAATTACAAAAATTAGCTGTGTGTGGTGGCACACATCTGTGGTCCAGCTTCTCAGGAGGCTGAGGTGGGATGATCACTTGAGCCTGGGAAGCTAAGGCTGTGGTGAGTTGTAATCGGGCCACTGCACTCCAGCCTGGGCAACAGACTGAGACCCTGTCTCTAAATAGATAAAAAAATAAATAAAATTGGAAGAAATAAGAACTTGGAAATGAAATGACTGCTGTAATATTTTAAAAAATATTTAAACACAAAAATCAGTAAAGATACAACTAACACTTAGATTCATACGTGAAGATGAACTTTTATTAATATAAGAAGTAAAATATTAGTGATAGAGATGAAGTACCCTTTAATCCCCTTTTCCATCCTCCCTCCATACTCTCGTCTCTTCCAACACAAAGATTGAAAAATGTGGAATGATTCACAAATGTGTGAACCACCCTTGCACATGGACGATATTGATCTCTGTGCTGTTCCAGTTTTAGTATATATATTAATGAAGCAAGCACCAAGGTTTCATTTTATTCTTAAAAACACCCTTGAAGAAACTAGCCAAGGTTATACATTATAGCTTCTTTATGACAATAATCTTTTAGACTCCAAAATATCTTCATAGACAAGAAAAGGCAAATGCAGGCATTAAAAGAAGGAAGAATGAGAAAGAGAAGGGCAGAATTGAATAATGAGCTAATTGGAGCTATTTTTTCTAGATAGGCATTTCATTTTCACTGTTGATTTTACCTTACATTTAAAGTATGAAAAGTTAAAATTTTAAAAATCATCTAATTATGCATTTACAAACCGTTACTAATTTTGTCACCGTTCCCAAATTAGCCAGACTGGTCTCTGTTCTGAGCTGTGAAGAAAAGGCAATAAAAAGGATATTGTTCCCTTTACTGTAACTCCACTGTTTTATTCAAGTGTCATTGTGGCCACTTCACAATCTGATTTGAGAAGAGGTTCTGTCAAGCTTGATCATAATTTGGATGAACTCTCTACTTATGCAGAACCCAGCTCTGTTATGAGGATCAGGATTCATTCCAGCTGTAGAATATCACAAAACTAGAGGGTGACCTATCGGAATCCCCAAATTAAAGAACATCTAAAATATAAGATATTCTCAAGGTCTGTAACTTTTTAATAAGTTTTACATTCCAAACTGTGTATATGACAGTATCAGTTTCTATTGAACAACTACTTTGATTCATTTGGAAGAACAAGTATCAGACCCTCGTCGATCTAAATATTCTCCAGCCTTGGCAACATGGTGAAACCCTGTCTCTACTAAAACAACAACGACAACAACAAAAAAAATACAAAAATTAGCCAGGTGTGTGGTGTGCACCTGTAGTCGAAGCTACTAGGGAGGCTGAGGTTGGGGGATCACTGGAGCCCAAGGGGTGGAAGTTGCAGTGAGCCAAGATCATGGCACTGCACTCCTGCCTGGGTGACAGAATGAGACCCTGCCTCAAAAAATAAATAAATAGGCTGGGCGTGGTGGCTCACTCCTGTAATCCCAGCACTTTGGGAGGCCGAGGCACGTGGATCCTGAGTTCAGGAGTTCGAGACCAGCCTAGCCAGCATGGTGAAACCCCGCCTCTACTAAAAAAAAAAAAAAATTTTTTTGCCAGACATGGTGGCACGCAGCTGTAATCCCAGCTACTTAGGAGGCTGAGGCAGAATTGCTTGAACCCGGGAGGTAGAGATTGCAGTGAGCTGAGATTGTACCACTGCACTCTAGCCTGGGTAACAGACCAAGACTCCATCTCAAAATAAATAAATAAATAAATAAATACATATTCTAACACAAGTTTTAGATAATGTAGTTTATATAAAAACAAGATATAAATTTACTGCTATTTAAATGATGCATTTGAATTAATTCCTATGAAGTATTTTACATAACCAAAAGCATACATCACAAAGCTAAAAATTAGTATTTGGGTAACAGTGAACCCTTAAAACACAAAGTATTTATTTCTTACAGTCTGTACTATTTTCTCAGATAAAGCCATGAATAATGTGTTTTTTCATTGCTTTCAATAATTTAAAAAGTTGTTTAAAGCTAAAATAAATAATCAAATAATAGATGTCATTATATGTATGTATAAGCAATGAGAGATTTTATGTGTAATTAAAGGGCTAGTTTTCCAAGACACCAATTATATCCCTGTTTAAAATAGTTACAATATGAATAATGCACCGCCTTCTGTAGGTATGTTTTACTTATTCTGATAAATGAAGCAAGGAAGAAGAAAGTTTCCCTAAATACCTCTAAAAAATCCTATAGGAGAAACTATTGTTTTAGAATCAAAAGGATTTAAGCTTTGACTGGTAACATATAAACATAATCAAGGAGGAGCCATTTAATAAGATGGGCTGGTCTTCAACTTACCTGTTACTGTCCTTCCTAAATTCTGAGTAACAACTCATTATATAAACGGATTTCATCTTAGAGGAATGTGCTTCATATTTAATTTTTAATGTATGCTTCTTACTTTCTAATCCAAATAAAACACACTTCAGAAATATAGACACTGATGCCAGGCGCAGTGGCTCATGCCTGTAATCCCAGCACTTTGGGAGGCCGAGGCCAGCAGATCACCTGAGGTCAGGAGTTCAAGACAAGGCTGGCCAACATGGTGAAACCCTGTCACTACTAAAAATACAAAAAATTAGCCGAGTGTGGTGGTGCACGCCTGTAGTCCCAGCTACTTGGGAGACTGAGGCAGGAAAATGGCTTGAACCCAGGAAGCAGAGGTTGCAGTAAGCCGAGATCACACCACTGCACTCCAGCCTGGGCAACAGAGCGAGACTCTGTCTCAAAACAAAACAAAACAAAACAAAAAATGTAGACACTAGAGAAGTGTAAAAAAAAAAAAAAATCATTCATTAGCTAGACACGGTGGTTTGCTCCTATAATCCTAGCTACTGGAGAGGTTGAGGTAGAAAGAAAACTTGAGGCCAGGACTTCAAGACCAGCCTGGGCAATCCCATCTCTACAAACAATAAAAATAATAAATATTGTGCATTATTATTTTATAGAGGTACATTTTCTTTTAAGGTTATCCTCATTCATCATTAACATTCGGGAGAGAGTATAAAAAATTCATTCAGATACACGTGTATAATGGAAATTTATTGTGATGTCTTTAACCTAGGGTTGTTTTGGATGTGTTGTGTTAGGATGACTTGCATCATTTAATCACCTAAAACGCTTGTTAAAAAAGTACTTACCCACGTTCCGCCCAGAGTCAGACTCACTGAATCAGAATCAGAATCACCAGGCCGGGTGTGGTTCAGAAGTCTGCATCTGAAACAAGACTATCTGGTGATACTGGTAGAGGCAGTGGAAGGAGGGACCTCCAAGCAGCATTGCTTTAGGGGCTGATGTCAGATTTATCTAAGGTTTGCTCTATAAAGCTCCCTTATAGTACATTTCAGTGTAATACCAGAGGATCTCTATTGTGTATTTTGTAAGGTTTTTTTGTTTTGTTTTGTTTTGATGGAGTTTCGCTCTTATTGCCTAGGCTGGAGTGCAATGGCACAATCTCAGCTCTCTGCAATCTCTGCCTCCTGAGTTCAAGCGATTCTACTGCCTCAGCCTCCCAGTAGCTGGGATTACAGGCGCTCCCCGCCACGCCCAGCTAATTTTTTGTATTTTTAGTAGAGACGGGGTTTCACTATGTTGGCCAAGCTGGTCCTGAACTCCTGACCTCAGGCGATCCACCCGCCTCGGCCTCCCAAAGTGCTGGGATTACAGGGGTGAGCCACTGTGCCTGGTCCATGAGGCTTCTTTTTAAAATAATGATTGACAAGGAATGGAACTGCCCACAGTGGCAGTCCTTATGGAGTCACTAAATTAGTCCTATCCCCAATTTGATACTAAGCCATTCAAAGCTACTTAAATGCTGACTCCTGCAAGCAGTTGTGTAACAGCACTGATTAGCCATTATACATGATTGATATTTTGTGTGCTATTTAATGTTCTCTTTTAATAAGCATAAAAATCTAATTCCTTTCTCATACACCCCACTTCCAGGGTATGGCAGCTACACCACAGCCCCATTAAGAATAACTATCTTTTTTGGCAAGGCATGGTGGCTCATGCCTGTAATCCTAGCACTTTGGGAGGCCAGGGAAGGAGGATCACTTGAGTCCAGGAGTTCGAGACCAGCCTGGGCAACATAGTGAAATCTTGGCTCTACAAAAAATAAAGATAAATAAAAATTAGCCAGGCATGCTGGCACACGCTTGTGGTCCTAACTACTTGGGAGGCTAAGGTGGGAAGATCACTTGAGCCTGGGAGGTCAAGGTTGCCATGAGCCATGATAGTTGGGTAAGACTCCCAACTTCCCAAAAAAATAAATAAATAAAAAATAAATATATATATATGTGTGTGTGTGTGTGTATATATACATACATACATATATATATATATATATATATATAAAAGCCAAGTGTGTTGGTCCACACCCATAGTCCAGCTACTTGGGAGACTGAGGAGGGAGAATTGCTTGAGTCCAGGAGGTCAAAGTTGCAGTGAGCTATGATTGTGCCACTGCACTCCAGCCTGGTCTCCAGAGTAAGACATGGCCTCAAAACAAAACAAACAAAAAGGAATAACTATCTTTTTAATATTCCCATTAATTGAGATTTTATTTTGGAGTTTGTGTTTTTAAAAATAGACTTCTTTTGTTTCCCAAAAGCAAAACTATAACATCATTTCTTTTTCTATCTACATATAATTGAAACTACCTTTGCAAAATTATGACAGAGAAATCTGACATGGTTGACTCCATCTTGCTTCTGACCTCCAAGCTGTCCTTGGTCATTCCTGGGCATGGGCCAAGCTAACTTTGGGAGAAATCTAGTTTATAGTTTAACTTGAAAGCAAAGATGATAATGGTCCCTCCCTAAAACTAATCCCCTCCTTGTTCAGGGGCCCAAAACCACCTTTGGAAGACTAATAAAAGGCCACAAGAATAGGATTATGAGAGGTACCTGAATTATGATAAGATATACATAGTTTCTATAATCTTTTATTGCTCAGGGCTTCTGTGGCCAAAGGTCACAAGATATGTGAGTTTCCCAGTTGGTCATATAGAGAACATCACTATTGTAGAACCTAAGATTGGTTTTCAGAGATATCTTTCAGACTGACCCCACCAGGACTCCTGACTCATGACTGGACTGATCCTGTGGTCCCACCCAGAGGCAGACTCAGTGCACAAGGACTGTTTTCCACACCCCTATGAATCCATCCCCAACCAATCAGCAGCACCTATTCCCTAGCTCCCTACCCACCAAATTATCCATAAAAACTCTAACCTCTAAGCCTTTGGGGAGACTGATTTGAGTGGTAACTCCAGTTCTCCCTCAGGGGCCAGCCTCACATCAGTTAAACTCTTTCTCTACTGTAATGCTGTGGTCTCAGTGGATGCTTTTCATTTGTGCAGTGGGCAGGAAGAACACTCAGATGATCAGAGTGCTTTTCCTAAAATATCCTCAGATTTGCAGGAAATAATGACAAGTTCATCCTGTTGAGAATCACATTTATGTAAAAACCTCAGGGCCAGGCATGGTGGCTCACACCTATAATCCCAGCACTTT
This sequence comes from Homo sapiens, assembly GCF_000001405.40. Classification (NCBI taxonomy): domain Eukaryota; kingdom Metazoa; phylum Chordata; class Mammalia; order Primates; family Hominidae; genus Homo; species Homo sapiens. Next base: position 19,798,206 of record NC_000010.11, read on the forward strand.
GGGAGGCTGAGGGAAGAGGATCACTTGAGCCCAGGAGTTCAAGACTAGCCTGGGCAACATAGTGAAATCCTGCCTCTACAAAAAATAAAAATAAACAAAAATTAGCCAGGCATGGTGGCACACACTTGTGGTCCCAACTACTTGGGAGGCTAAGGTGGGAAGATCGCTTGAGCCTGGGAGGTCAAGGTTGCAGTGAACCATGATAGTGCCATTGTAATCCAGCCGGGGTGACAGAGTGACACCCTATCTCAAAAATAAGTAAATAAAATTCAGATACCAATGTGCATCAAATAAAAATGCAGATACCGAGTCAAGTGGCCATTATTAATCTTGGATCTAATTTTAGAGTTTATAAAATTGGCTACACAAGTCTTGAGGTTAGTTAATGATGTGAGGACTCTTGGGTATCACTTGAAACCAAGAGAGGGATCATTATGTGGTTGTAACTCTATGTCTATCCTCTGATCATATTATGTCTGTATCTCTCCCTGTCCTGTATCTGGAATCATTCTTTGGTGCTGTCTCCAGAACTACACGTCAGTTATCTCTGATCCATCTTTTGCTAATATATATATCTATCCAGAGTATGCTCAGTTGTTATAGCTTCTCATAGATCTTCAGAGTCTTTGAAATGTTACCTCTTGATTTTTATCTTTCAATGAACTTCCTCCCACTCAAGCATGGAGTTGTTTGCTCCTACTCCTCTTACACATCCTCTATCTTCATGTTCAGATACTACCAAGGATAGTGTATGCACTCTGTACTGTAGTGCAAGCATTTCTTGTCTAGACTTTGATCTTGGTTGGCCTTCATCAAGTAAATTTAAAAGTGAATTCTCAGGTCCCTAAGCAATATATCTGTTTGCTTTCCCTTCCACACAAAATAGAAAGTTTGAATGGTCTAAGGGGATTAATACAAAACACTCTTGTAGTAGTCCATTTTCACACTGCTGTTAAAGAACAACCTGAGACTGGTTGATTTAGGAAAAAAAGGGGTTTAATTGATTCACAGTTCTGCATGGCTGGAAAGATTTTAGGAAACTTACAATCATGGCAGAAGACAAAGAGGAAGCATGTTTTACATGGCATCAGGAAAGAGAGAGTGAAGGGGGAAGTGCCACACTTTTAAACCATGAGATCTCATGAGAACTCACTCACTATCACAAAAACAGCAAGGAGGAAATCTGATCCCATGAACCAATCACCTCCCACCAGGGCCCTCCTCTGACACGTGGGGGTTACAGTTAGAGATGAGATTTGAGTGGGGACACAGAGCCAAACCATATCAACTCTCCAGTCCCTAAAATAAAGTAAGTAACTAACATGATCATCTTAATCCAATACATTAAAAAGCTCTTCCCTCTCATTACCACAGGATTTAGAGGTTATGGAATATTTACAAGATGTACAATGAAAATATAGAGATAATGTTTTTTATTTGGGGGATCTGTTTATTTTATTGAAGCCCCCAAATCGAGATAGAAATTCAAAATTTCAAAACCTAAGTCATACTGACTAATGAAAAGACAGGAAAAGCATAAAGAATAATAAATAGAAAAATGAACTGAAACTAAAATGCTATTAGAAAAATTTTCGGTAAGAAAGTCACTGAACTATTTTCAAAGTGACATATCAGAAAAAGAAACTTGCAAATAGCTAAAGCTAGTGAGGCAGTCCCAAAAACCAATAAGGAGAAAAATCATCCTAAAAATGATGGATGATTTAGTCAGGGCAACTAAAATTAAACCAGAAAGAGAGAACACACACAGGTAGTGAAATATGTCAGACCACATTCTGTAGAACTAGAAAAAAATGGGAGTATTGAATTCTTTAATAATAAATGGAATCCTCCAAGTATTAAAAGAAACTAATAGACTTTTCCAGTTATGTGCAAAAGACATTCATTAACAATAGCACATTAGCATTCATTAAAATTTTTCGGATGCTCTTAAGAGATTCTAAAGCTTTCATTTGCCTTTTAATACACAAATTACGCTGTGATTTGTCTGTCATTTTAAGTAGATCAGAGAATACCTGAGTTTCACTGTTCCTTCATCTTTTGCAGGATTTCAATAAATAGTGCATACATATTTCAGTGAATTAGTCATGATTAAATAATACTTATTTCTACTGGAAAAATGCATTGGTGGCCAAATTCCGTGACTTCTTAAGTACTTGGCCCTGACAAACTCAATACGAAGCTATAGGAAAGTTCAAAGTGTACAATAACATATTACTTGAAAGTTACATATTACTTTTTTGCTCTCATGGCTTTTCATCATATTATTATTAGATCAATGTAATATTATCATATGTATTTCTCTGAAATATCTCCCATCCTTTTTTTTGTAGTTAACTTGTAGGATATTATTAAGTATGTATGTTATATCGTTATACATATATAACCATGTATATAACTAATGGTTATATGTTTTAGTTTTGTCAATTTTTTTCTGCTATAAGTACAATTTCAGTACTATTATGAGCCAAAAACATATTTTAGACTGTCCTGGCAACTTACTTTGGTGTTGACATACTTCATAACATTTATCACAACATATTTGCTAATGGGAATATAGGTTGCAGGTTAAAAATTAAAAATGACAGACATGGACCTTTGGAGCATAATGCCTTCTGAGCCAAGATTTTGTATATTTCTCTTTTGAAAGATGCTACTTAGTTCTATTTGGTTTCATAAACTGTGAAAAGAAGTCTTCTGCCTGACTTGCCTGTGCCATCTGCATCAACTCAATCTGAAAGATATTTTCAACTTGTTCCATTAAAATGAGGGGTTGTTTATTAGCTTATTCTAAGCTGATCTCCCAAATATTTGTCTACGAATTCTCTCCTAGTATAACACTGTTTATCTAATTATTTAATACATTAAATTATTTATTTATTTATCAGAACAAGGAGGAACATTATATTGTTTTTAAATTTAGAAATATACGTTCAGATCTGCTAAGCATCACATGTGAAGTAAATATGATTTCCTATAAAATTCTGGGTTTACGAGCCTGGGCAACATAGTGAAACCCTGTCTCTACAACAAATACAAAAATTTGCTGGGTGTAGTGGTGTGTGCTGTGGTCCCAGCTACCTAGGGGCTGAGGTGGGAGGATTGCTTGAGCCCAGAAGGTCAAGGCAGCAGTGAACCAAGATCACGCCACTGCTTTCCAGGCTGGGCGACAGAGTGAGACCCTGCCTCAAAAAAAAAAAAAAAAAAAAAATAGGTTTTTCTTTTCATCCCGGCCATAAAAGAGGCACAGTGAAGAATCCCTGAGATGATTGGGTTGATATTAGCCTGTTGATGTGACTGTGCAGGAACTTGCTGAAGCCATCGAGTTTCAATTGGCTGCATACACAGCAGAAAGAGTTTTCACCACAGCCTTTTCTTGCCTTCTGAAGCTTTCACATCACATTACATGAGCAATCTTGACTCTTGTATATGTTGATTTTAATTATCCATGTCCCATGTGACATTTAGCCTTCATTCCTTAATAAAAGTGGATATGTTGTGATAATCCAGTAACATTTCTCACATTGAAATGGTTCATATCTGCAATCACATTGATATTAAATTTCCTTCCTTGCAGTAATATGTTTATAGCAAACTAATTCTGTGGTATTGTCTTAGTTGAGGATAAAAGAAAAATAGAATAGAAATGGAAGTGCAATATCTTAAGAAACAAAGTAGTAATATTTGAGGATGCAAAGGAGAGCTTTAGGGGAAAAAACAGATTGCCAGGAAAATTCTGAAGAAAGTGACAGTAGAAGAGTAGGTTAGAGCAAGAATGAAACCAGAGTAACGAGACTAAAAAGCAAACAAACAGGATTAATTAGTCTTTTAAAAAATTAAAATTGGTATATTGCAAAACCATTGCTATAAAGAATATATTATTAAGTAGTATTTAAGACTTTTGGTGTATATGTTTTACAAATCTTAATATTGAGAATAGAGATTTTTACACCAAGTTTATTACATGAAATAAAAGAGCAAGTAAAAGTTAATTTTCAGCCAGCAGTCAGTATTGAATGGTTCATATGCAGGTAAACAAAATCTCAAGTGTATCTGCATTCTAGTCATGTAGATATGGTATCTTGAAATATGAATGTGGCCTAAGGGATTTATACGGAATGCGTTTTATTCTTCACTTGCTAGCATAATTTTCTTTTCCAAGTTAGTTTTGGATTGAACATATGGACTAATTGTATGCCATTGTTTTGTTAAAATCATATCAAGAAAGGAGGTTAGACAAATGTCTTTCGATGGATGAATGGATAAACAAAATGTGTTATGTACATACAATGGAATATTATTCAGTCTTAAAAAGGAATGAAATTTGATACATGGCACAACATGGGTGAATGTTGAGGACATTATACTAAGTGAAATAAGCCAGACCCCAAAGAACAAATATTATATGAGTCCATTTATATGAGGTACCTAGACTAGTCAAATTCATAAAGAAGAAAAGTAATAGTGGTTATTAAGGGATGGGGGAATGTGGAATGGGGAATTATTGTGTAATGAACACAGAATTTCACTTTGGGATAATGAAAAAGTTTTGAAGTCAGAGGATGATGTTGGTTGCACAACGCTGAGAAAGTCCTTTTTTTCTGAGATGGAGTCTTGCTCTTTCACTCAGGCTGCAATGCAGTGGCATGATCTTGGCTCACTGCAACCTCCATCTCCCAGGCTCAAGCTATTCTCTTGCCTCAGCCTCCTGAGTAGCTGCGACTACAGGTGCACACCAGCACAACTGGCTAACTTTTCTATTTTTAGCAGGGACAGGGTCTTACCATGTTGGCCAGGCTGGTCTCGAACTCCTGACCTCAAGCGATCTGCCCATCTTGGCCTCCCAAATTGCTGGGATTACAGGTGTGAGCCACTGCACCTGGCCCAATGCGAAAGTTCTTATTGCCACTTAAATTCTACACTTAAAAATGGTTAGGATGCTAAATGTTATGTTATGCATATTTTATCACAATAAAAGGATGTTAGAGAACTTGAAACATCTTTAGCCCATTTAAGATCTTAGGATCACTTCGGAAACATGCTAAAATCCAACCAGAAAGAGTATGGAGAAGCACAAAATAATGGGCTGAGGTCAACATCCATTAGTGATAAAAGAGCTATTAAAATAAATCACTTTAATGATTCATTTTAGTGAACATCTATGTATAAAGAAATGTGTTTAAGGTGAATCTACCTCTTTTAAGAAATGTTCAAAATATGATAACATGCTCTACATCTGTTTACTTGTTGAGACTGGACTGATTAATAAAAGATTTTAATGTTTTACAAGAATACATCGATAAGAAGTCAAGTGAGAAAATAAATCAATATATTTATTTGAACTATTTTGAACTATTTGCTAAGATTTCTAATAACTCAGAAGTCAACTTTCATCTATGCAACTCTTTTCTTTTCTTTTTTTTTTTTTTTTTTGAGACAGGATCTCACTCTGCCACTCAGGCTGGAATGCAGTGGCACAATCATGGCTCACTGCAGCCTCAGCCTCCCATGCTCAAGCTGGACTTAAAGTATGTGCCACCACACAGAGAATTAGCCTGGCTAATTCTTTTACTTTTGTAGAGGCGGGGTCTTGCCATGTTGCTCAGGCTGGTCTAGACCTCTTGGACTCAGTGATCCTCCCACCTGCCTCCCAAAGTGATGGGATCACAGGCATGAGTCACTGTGCCTGGCCTGATGTAACTCATTTTTATCTTACAGATTAAAAGTTAATACTTATTTAGTTAAAAATTATTCAAAGGGATGCCGAGCAGTAGTTTGCAGTGCTGCATTGTGTAGGAGCAGGCAGTATAGGTTAATGAGTTTAAAGATATAAATATTTTCTATTATGACATATGTTAACATTTTCAAACCAAAATGCATAAAAAGGTAGGGGGGAACTAGTGTATTTTTTAAATCTCTTAACAAATATTCTTAAATCAAAAGAATGTACAAATGTGATGCTATTCTATCCCCACATATTTTGAAGGACTTAACTTACTTTAATGTTAAAGTTAAACTAGATATTATAACTTCACGTACTGTATCTTCTTCTTGTTATACTTTAATTATTTCAAATTTATTTTTTTATAAATGTCCTTAATCTCTAAAGTTTTCAGACTATTTAAAACGGTGCAGGAGTGACATCAGTAAAAATGTTAGAATAAGGATCTCAAAAATTTTCTCCTCTGGAAAAGCAACTGGCAAAGGTAACAGAATCATCCTTTTCAGGATTCTAGAAATTAACCAAATGCTTGAAAGAACCCAGAAAGTGTTTATTCAAGAAAAAATAGATACTCAACAAAAACCTGGGAGTTTTGTGGAATTTTATCATGCTCTAGTTCTATGTCTTACTCTTCAGCTCAGTGGCAACCATAAAAAATAACAGTCTGCATTCCTGGTGCACCTTGGTAGCTATTGGAATTAGCAAACAGAGCTGGAGCCATTTCAAAGAGTCATTCCTGAATATCTGTCCTTATTTGACCTGCCTGAAGGATTCCAGAAAGACCCACTTACAAGGTAACTTGGCACGTTCCCAGTACTAAAAGCCATATGGCAGGTGAGTGTGGGGGCATTTGTCAGAAACAATTATAAGCAAGAGTTTTACCTTTGTGGCTGCCTATGGAGATTGATAATTGATGGGGCAAATAATAGACTAACCAAAAAGCTTAAAAGGAGAAACTGAAGAATGAGATACCTAGGTGAGTTTTGAGAAGCTACAATGTATTTCTGGACTGTAGAAGGCCACATGCATGCATAAGGCTACAGAAAGACCTTATAAGGCTGTAAGGACTCACTTCTGGCTGACTGTCAACAGAAAGTGAAGGCTTAAAGCAGATTTGTGGACTGCCAGGCTGAGTGTTAAAGGCTAACCCCAACAAGCACACAGAGCCCTTTGCAATAGACTGAAATAATTTTTCAATCCATTTTTTTTGTGTGTGTGTGGAAACTTCTGTGTAACCATTAGCTGACCCCTTGGCTAACCAAATAGAGACTTAGGAGACCACATGTAACAAAGAATACAGACTTCATGAAACTGGTTCAGAAAATTTACTAGGTAAACAACAGTGGCCATATCAAGCAGCCATAACAATGAAACCTGGTGAGGGGAGAGAATCTGATTTATAAAGTTGTCACACTGTATTGTTTAAAATGTCCAGTTTCCAACAAAAAATTATGAGACATGCAAAAAAAAAAGTAAGAATATTTGGCTCATGCACAGGGAAAAATTCAGTCAATAGAGACTATCTCTGAAGAAGCTCATGTTGGTTTCACTAGACAAAAATTTAAACAAACTATTTCAAATATTTTCAAAAACCTGCAATAAACCATGCATAAATAAGTTTTTTTAAAGCATGAGAATTCATGCTCATAAATGGAATTATAAAAATGAACCAAAAAGAAATTCTGGGTTGAAAAATATAATAACTGAAATGAAAAATTTACTAGAGGGGTTCACCAGAATATCTGAACAGTCAGAAGAAAGAATCAGTAAACTTCAATACAGTCAACTGAGATTATTTTGTCTGAGAGATAAAAAGAAGAAAAAATTAAGGAAAAATGAACAGCTGTCAGAGAATGGTGGGACGACATTGAGTGCACCGATGGATGCAAAATAGAATTCCAGAATGAGAGGACAAAAGAAGAGGCAGAAAAAAAATCTGAGGGAGTAGTTGGAAAAATTTATTATATTTGATGAAAATGATTAAGTTACATATCCAAGAAACTCAACAAACTCCAACCACGAAAAAAAATCAAAGAAATCCACATCTAGATATATCATAATAAGCTGTTGAAGGAAAAGAAAGAATCTTGAAAGTACCAAGAGAGAAATGGTTCATCACATAAACAGAATTCTCGATAAGACTGATATTTAATTTCTCATCAGAAATCTTGGAGACCAGAAGGCATTGAAATGATATTTTCAAAGTGCTAGAAAACGAAACGAAACAAAACTTCATCAACCAAGAATTCTATAGCAGGCAAAACTACTTTTCAAAAATAAAGGTGAAGATAAAACATTCCCAGAGAAACAAAAACCAAAGGAGTTCATCATTGGAAAACCTGCCCAACAAGAAATACTAAAAGAAGTTCTCAGGCTAAAATGAAAGAATACTAGATAGTAATGCTAATTCACATGAATTTTCTTTTTTTTTCTAAAAAGCACCAGTAAAAACAACTACATACATAAACATAAAAGACAGTATAAGTTTATTTTTTTGTAATTTTTTCTGCTGACTTTAAAAGACAACTGTGTAAAGCAATATTATAAATCTATGTTGATGGGTGCACAATGTATAAACATGTAATTTATGCTAAAAACAGTATGGGGGGGATAACAAAGCTACATAGGAGCAACATTTTTGTATGCTATTGAAATTAATTTTGTATTAATTAAAATTAGATCATTATAAATTAAGATACTAATTATAATCCACAGGACAACTGCTAGGAAAATAAAATATAAAAGAAAAGAAATAACACAAGAATTAAAATGGTATGCTAGAAGATATATCTGTTAAACACAAAATAAGTCAGAAATAATGGGGAAAAATACATACAGAAAATTGGTCGGGCATGATGGCTCACACCTGTAATCCCAGCACTTTGGGACGCTGAGGCGGGTGGATCACCTGAGTTCAGGAGTTCAAGACCAGCCTGGCCAACATGGTGAAACCCTGTCTCTACTAAAAACACAAAAATCATCTGGGTGTGGTGGCATACATCTGTAATCACAGCTACTTGGGAGGCAGAGGCAGGAGATCACTTGAACCTGGAAGATGGAGGTTGCAGTGAGCCAAGATGGTGCCACTGCACTCCAGCCTGGGTGATAGAGTGAAAGACTCCATCAAAAAACAACAACAAAAAAAGAAAACAATAACAAAATTGCAAATATGATACTTACCTTATCAGTAATTATATTACATTTAAATGGATTAAACTTTCCAATTAACAGGAAGATATTGCATAATATATTTTTTTAAAACAAAGTTTATCTATATGCTAACTCTAAGAGACAAAATTTAGATTCAATGACACACAAAAAAAATTAAAAGAATAGGAAAACATATACCATCTAAAGAGTAACCAAGAGAGCTGGAGAGTCCATACTAATATTTGACAATAAAAGATTTTAAAACAAAACTTGTTACCAGAGATCAAAAGAACTTTTTATAATTATGAGTCAATCTTCTGAGAAGATATAACAATTATAAACATATATGCAGTTAACAATGGAGCATAAAAGACATAAAGACAAACTGAAAGAATTGAAAAGATAAAAAGACAGTTAAAAATAATAGTTGAAGACATTAAATAGTGGTTAGAACAAGTAAACACAAAATTAAACATACTGCTGAAGACTTGTGCAAACCTATAAACCGTCTAGACCAGAGACATCTGCAGAACATTCTCTATGTCTGTGGACTTCTGTAGAACATCTGTGAAACAACAGAATATATTCTTCTCAAGTGCTCACTGAATGTTCTCCAAAAGAGACTATGTATTAGTCAATACAGCAAGTCTCAATAAATGTAAAAGGTTTGACATCTTACAAAATATGTTCTCAGACCAAAATGAAATAAAGTTAGAAATCAATAATATAGAAAATTTGGGATATTCTCTGATGCATAGATATTAAACAACACATTCCTAAATGACTGATGGATAAAAGAAGAAATCACAAGGGAAATTAGAAAATATTTTGAGATTAGTGAAATAAAAACACAATATATCAAAACTTGGGATGCAGCAAAAACAGTATTCAGAGAGAAAATTATAGCTACAAATGCCTACATTTAAAAAGAATAGATCTAAAATTAATGACCTGACTTTCCACCTTAAGAAACTAGAAAAAAACGTAAGCTAACCTAAAGCAAATAGGCGGTAAACAAGAAAGATTATTGTGGAAATAAAAGAAATAGAGAATGAGAATAGAAAAACAATCAAGAATGTCAACAAAACTCTTCGTTTTTGATCAACAACATTGACAAAGCTTTACTTCAATTTACCAAGAAAAAAGACAGAACACCCAAGTTATCAGAAACGAAAAAGTGGACATTACTACCAACCATACAGAAATAAAAATTGTTATATGAGAATATTATACACAATTGTATACTAATAAATTAGATAACAAATGGAAAATTCCTGACAAAGAAAATATCGAAACAGGCTCAAACAGTAATAGAAAATCTGACAAGACTGATAAAAAAGAGAAACAGTAGATTAATAAAGAAAAAATTTCCACACACACAAAAAATCATACCCAGATGGCTTCACTGGTGAATTCTACTAAAAGATTAAAGATAAATTAACACATATTTTCCAAATGTTTCCAAAAGGTAAAGAAGAAGGAACACTTCCTAACTCATTCTAATGAGGGTAGTATTACCCTGATACCAAAACCTGGCAAAGACCTCACAAGAAAAGACAAATAAAAACTAATGCCCCTTACATATATGGATGCAGAATTTTTTTAAAATGCTAGAAAGCTGAATTTAGTATCTGAGAAAAAGGACCATATCCCATGACCAAGTAGAATTTCTCTTGAGTATATAAGATTGGTTCAACACATCAAAATCTATCCAAGTAATATGCCATACCAATAGAATAAAAGAAACAAATGCACAATCTTATTAGTTGATGCAGAAAAAAAAATTGGCAAAATCCAACACCCACTCATGATAAATATACTCATAAACTAGGAATGGGAGGAATCTTGCTCAACCTGATAAAGGGCATCAGTGAAAACTCCACAGCTAATGTCATGTTTAATGGTGAAAGAGTTAAAGCTTTCCCTATAGCATCAAGAACAAGACAACTACTGTCAACACTTCCATTTAACATTGTACCAGAGGTTCTAACCAGGGTAATTTGGTAAGAAAATATAACAAAAGGCATCTATCTATATGGGAAAGGAAGACAAAAGAAAAAGATATTTGAAGATCTTATACCTAAAAAAAACCCCTAAGAAATTCTCACACCTGTAAAAAACTATTAGATATAATAAATGCATTGGGAATGTGGGGATATCTCACATTCATGGATTGGAAGACTTCATATTGTCAAGATGGCAACAGTCCCAAAATTAATCTAGAGGTTCAATTAAATCCCAATCAATTGGCAAGTTTGCAAGATTAATAAACAAAAAATAAGTTGTACTCCTATCTATTAACTGGTATATGCTGGATTTTGTGCCCCTCCAAACTCATATGTTAAAGGCCTAACTCTCAGAACCCGAAAATGTGCCTGTAATTGGGAATTGAGCATTAAAAGAGGTGTTCAAGTTAAAATGAGGCCATTATGGTGGTTCCTAATCCAATCTCACTGCTGACCTTATGGTAAAAGAAAATTTGAATAAAAAGGAAGATGTGTACACAGAGAAATGATCATGTGAGAACATGAGCATTTACAAGCCAAGAAGTAAGGCCTCTGAAGAAACCAAAACTGCTGGCACCCTGATCTGGGACTCTTAGCCTCCAGAAATGTGAGTGTTTACACCACTCAGTCAGTGGTGTTTTGTCGTGGCAGCCCTAGCAAACTAATATGAGAACCATTCGAAATCTACAAATGTAATTAAGAAAACGATTTCATTTATAACAGCATCAAAAAGAATAAAATACTTAGAAATAAATATAACAAAACAAGTGCAATGCTAGTACATTGAAGCTACAAAACTACATAACAATATTGAAATAAATTAAAGAAGAGGAAAATTAATAGAAAGACATCTCACATTCATGGATTGGAAGACTTCATATTGTCAAGATGGCAACAGTCCCAAAATTAATCTAGAGGTTCAATTAAATCCCAATCAAAATTCCAACAGCCTCTTTTGGAGAAATGGACAAGCGAATTCTAAACTTTATATGAAAATGCAAAGGATTCAGACTAGCTAAATCAATCTTGATAAACAGAACATAGCAAGAGGACTCACACTTCCTTATTTCAACTCTTACCAAAAAGCTACAGTAACCAAAACAGTGTAGTATAAGGAGAGACATATATATTAATGGGATAGAATTGGGAGTCCAGAAATAAACCTATATGTCTATGGCCAACTGATTTTCAACAATGATGTCAAGATCATTCAATGCAGTAACAATCTTTTCAACAAGTGGCTGAGACAATTGTATGTCCATATGCAAAAGAATAATTTTTGTCCCCTTCCTCACATTTTATACAAAAATTTACATAAATGGACCAAAGAACTAAATATGAAAATGAAACTATAAAATTCTTAGGAGAAAATATAGGCATAAATCAACCTTGGATTAGGCATGAGTTTCTTATACATGACACCTATAGTAGAAGTAACCAAAGAAAAATATATACATCTTGCTTTATCAAAATAAAAAACAACGTGCATCAAAGAACACTATCAAGAAAGCGAAAAGACAACCCATATTATGTCATTTCTTTCAGAAAATGTTTGCAAATCCTACATACTTTAAGAGCCCAACATCCAGACTATGTTGAGAATTCATACAACTCAACAATAAAAACACAGTCGAATTAAAAATGAGAAAGGGTTTAGAGAGAATCTTTTCCAGAGAAGATACATGAATGCTCAATAAGCCCAAGAAAAGATGCTTACCATCAATAGTCGTCAGGGAAATGCAAATAAAAACCAGAATGTCATACCACTTCACACCAACTGGGATCACTGTAGTTTTTTTTTCAATGAAAAACAAGTATTTGCAAAGATGAGGAGAAATTTGAACCCTCATGCATTGTTAGGAAAGTAAAAAGGTGCAACCACTGTGGAAAACAGTTTGTCATTTTCTCACAAAGTTAATTATAGTGTCACCATACTGCTCATATGTTCACACAAATTGTGCATAGATTTTTAAAGTCACGTTATTCATAATAGGCAAAAAGTGGGAACAACCCAAATGTCCAATAACTGATGGACTTAATCTTTTATCCATAATATAATTCAATGGAATATTGGAAATAAAAAGGAACGAAGTACAGATACAGTCAACAGCATGGGTGAATTTGAAAACATTATGCTAAGCAAAAGAAATCAGCCACAAAAGGCCGTATACTGTATGATTCCATTTATGTGAGCTCTCCAGGAGGAACAAATTCCCAGAGACAGAAAGTAGATTAGTGTTTGCCAGGGGCTGAGGAGAAAGGGGAATGGGCAGTGATTGTTAATGGGTATGGGGTTTCTTTTTGGAGTGATGACATGTTCTGGAATTAGATGGTAGTCTTGATTTTACCATCTTGTGGGCATATTAAAAACCACTGAATTATGTACACTTTAAAAAGGTGAATCTTAAGCTACATAAATTATATCTCAATAAAAATTTTGTAGAGATGGAAATAAAAAGACTGGAAATTTAGGGCAAATGAAAACAGGATGAATGCAAGATGAGGAAAGGAAATTCAGTACAAGTCATTTTGGTGGACACTGGCAGTGGTGGTGCCTATGTGAATCAGAGCAGTCCTGCCTCCAACACAAGAAGCCTGTGCCAGGAGTAACAGCCTCCACTAGGGGCTCTGCAGAAACACAATTTCTCCTGGGGCTGATATTTGAGAGTCAAATTTCCTGCAGTTTAGATATTTCCACCAGCAAAATGTGGATAGGCTATAAGGCTGACAACTGTGTCCAAAGCAATAATCGCTTGAGAACTTTTCCATGTGCCCCATCACTCTGCATTGTACAGCATATTCTTTAACACATTTATTTCATTTTTCAATTCACTAAGTGCTTGCTGAGCACTTGCCCATTTTCCTTTATTTGCAAAATGCAGGAATTTAACCTATCTTTGAGTACAATTTAGGAATATGGTCTAAGTTTCTATGATACAATGTTGCCATTTAAAAATAAATGTAACATAATGCTCCTACCCCCTTTTGATAATATAGTGTTCCATCTTATTAATATCTTTTCTACATTTTGAGTTACACATTTTTATGCTTTGCTATTTACTGGTCAAAACCACTTTAGCTCATTAAGATTCAGAAAGGAGGCTATAAAGATGTATGCCATTTTAATGCAGGATATTGTTTCATTATGAATGTGCCTATATTGTTAATTTCATCTAGATAGTACATGTAGTATTGATATGAGGCTAAAAGGCATAAAGTATTCTTGTATGTTAAATGCTCCAGTTAAAAAGAGTTATGTTAGCTGTTAAGTGAGTTTTAAAAAGATGTTTATTCAATTCAAACACATAATTGATAAAATTTTCACCTTAAAACTATAAAGAACAAAAAGCTGGAATATCCATCAACAGTACAATAGAATTACAGTTTATTCTGAGAGCAGATCAGCCAAGACGAACAAATGAGTCTTGTAATTGCATACCAGAGGTCAAAAAATTAGCCTTACCAAATGAGGAGGGAGAGGAAATGCTGAGACCTAGAGGAAAGGTCATAATATTTGGACTGAATAAAAGCATTTCACTAATAGCAATTTCCCTTTATCTGACAGCAATTGTAGAAAGTTTTAACAAATCCTGTTAAAATGGACAAAAACTATTTCCTGAATAGTTAAGAAAAGATTATAATAAATGCCAAGTATTCTACAGCATGTATAGAATCTCATTTCCAAGTGAGCATGCTGTTTTCTTCAGCATCCTGTTAGCCAAGTTCCAATTTTGGACAGGTCCTAGGAAACACAACATTGTTAAAGACAGAGATGATACGAGGTGATTAATTGTAAGTACATTTCTATAGATAGTATTGCACTTGGAGTGTGTAAAAATCTCTCTGAAGATTGGTAGAGATAAGGGTTGTAAACAGGTTTGAAATCCACACAGTGATAGCTCACATGCTAATCTTTGCCCAAAGTTCTATGTTGTTGAGAATGATTCTGATATATTATTTTAAAGGAGAGAGTGTCGTATGAATTCCAGATCTTTGTCATGGACAAAGAATCTAAGTGCTATTCATTTGTGGTTCCTGATTCATTTGTTCCTTGAGAGATTAGCTAAAATTAAGAGTAGGTGAAAGAACCACCAATTCCTTTCCTATGTCTATAGTGAATACAAACAGCCGTTACTACGTCTCTCCCTCATGTCAGATGGAAGATGTAACATCTTCCACAAATACTTACTTTGTTACTACAAAATGGAAAGAGACACTTCTACTGTGGTGAAATGTGTATGGCAAACCCAAATAATTTAGGCCACAAAATACCCTAGTTTAGCCAGAATTATGAGTAATCTACTTTTTCCATTTCACTCTGAACATACTGTCCTACATACATTTTATTTATTCGTTCCTTGCTACAGTGTAAAGGCAGAATATACTTTAAAAAAATAATCATTCATCAACATTTAAGGCAAATGATCAGAGCTTGAGTTTATTGTTATACAATGTTGCTCTTTCTTCTTTATTTCTGAACAGCAAATCTCATCAAGCATGATTGAGTTTTGCTTACTTGTATCTTCTCCCTTACTTCCGCATTTACTATGTGTATAGCTCTTCAGAATAAAATTAAGATAGGAGTAAACCAATACAATTCAGCAGCATCAGTGACATAACCAAACATATAAAAGTCCTTCCTGACTGACCCTGAATGACCATTTACCCCCTTTCAAATTTTGACATCAAATTTCTACTTACAAAAAGTATATAGTTTCAATCAGGTGGTCAAAGCATTGATGACCGCAAGTAACAAGAAAAATGAACCCTGCGAATACGCACATAAAATAATAAAGGAAAAAAGAAAGAAAATGATAGCAAGGAGAGGTGGAGATTTGCTTGTTCTCAGAGGAGGAAACACCTATTTTTCTACTGTGAAAGAAGGAGAAATAACTCGGTCTGAAAAAAGAGGTGCTTTCTTGAAATGGTTTCCGCTGGATTCCCCATTATTTTAGATATGATGGGAGCTGGAGTTGTGCAGAATATTTTGGGACGCTTTCCGCATGGATTTATGATCCTCAAAAAGAATCGGCATCAATTAAACTATAGTTGACCCTTGAACAGTATGGGGGTCAGGGGGACGGACCCCCACACAGTAGAAAATTAATGTATAATTTCGACTCCTCATAAACTTAACTGCTAATACCCTACTGTTGATTAGAAGCATTACTGATAATATAAAAACAGTTGATTAACACATATTTGGTATGTTCTACATATTACATACTGTATTCTTAAAATAAAGTAAGCTAGAGAAAAGAAAATGTTAAGAAAATCATAAGGAAGATAAATATACTTACTGTTTATTAAGTGGAAGTGGATCATCAGAAAGGCTTTCATCCTCATCGTCTTCACATTGAGTGGGCTGAAGCGGAGGAAGAGGAGGGGTTAGTCTTGCTCTGTTAGGGGTGGCAGAGGAGGAAGAAAATCCATGCAAAAGCGGATCCTCGCAGTTCAAACCCCTGTTGTTCAAGGGTCAACCGCACAATCAGGTTTTGATGAGAAGACTCAGTTTTCAAACTTGATTTTAAGCAGGTATATATCCGGGTACTCAAATTCGGATGTAATATTACATAGAACTTAAACACTCCTAGTTAAGCAGAAATAGAAAAACCCAGTTACCTAAGTAGAAATCAACCTATGGGAGGAAAGCTCAGGAAAGAGCCAGGGTCCTGGCATAATAAAGAGTATAGGCATGATATATGTTTGTGTTTATACGTGTATATCTGTTGTTTGGAAATAAAGAGCAAATTGAGTATTGGATTAAGGGAAACCTTTCTTGTTTCCCATGAGAGAGCCGTCCTTTGAGCATCACATTTGCAAAGGTAGATTGATTATCCGGATCCACTTCCAGTGGGTTTTGTGGCAAGCCGAGACATCTATTGACAGCATCCATAGACTCTTCAGAGCTTGGAGTGGAAAGGACCTTGAACTTAGAACACATGCACATTTATTATGTGATTGAAGTCGTCTTCTCTCACTTTTGCTTCAGTAAACACTTAAACAAAGCCATGTACTTTGCGGTAGGCAATGTTCTATATTTATTAAATATACAGTTAACTCATCCAATCCATTGCAACCACCTTATAAGGGCGTTACTCTAATTCTCTCCATTTGATGGATGGATAACTGAGGCTAGGAGATAAACTGCTCATTGCGGGGGAGGTGAAATTCCAGCCCAGGCTGTCCGGGCTCTAGATCCTGTACTTTTAACCAATAGCGCTTTGCTTCTTTTCCTTGTATTTATCCCTTTCAAAAATGATTAACTGTATGCAAAATAAGATATCAACTAACGAGAGGGCCGGCAAGGGTTAACGCGGAAACAGATCCCCGAGCTGAAAAAACAAAAACAAACTGGGGAGCCAGAGCCCCTGAAAGCTCCGGTAGGAAATTCAATGGGCCTCCTGTTCCTTTAAACTCTCGCTTTCGCCCCCGCTGACACTTTGCAAAGCCGCGGCGGCAGCGGCGGGGACCACGCTGCGGTGCACCACCTTCCGCCACCCTCCCGCGCTGGGCTGGGGTCGAGGGGGCTTCGCAGAGTCGGTAACCGAACCGGCTCTGGTTTGCTTTCTCCACTCCCTAGCCACTACCAGAACCAGCCTCCGCGAAGGGGCGAGCTGTGGTTAACCCTTTCGTGCCCAGGGAGACCCCGCCAGGGTCGGGGCGGGGCGCGATCGCCCCCCGCAGTCGGGCGCGAAGGCGGCCCGGGAGCCAGGTGGGTGTGGGGCGCAGTTGGCGGAGCTGCCCAGGGCGTGCGAGCAGGCTGCGAGGATGGCGCCCCGGCGGCGCGGAGGTACCGCCCCGCGCTCCCCCGATAGCTCCCCGGCCTGTCCCCTCTCCCCGCGCTCTGGGGCAGCCGGCTGCCTGGGGCGCACGGGGCTGGAGTGGCCCTCTCCCTCCCCTTCGCTAGGCTCCCCCGGCTTAATCTGTTGGCCGCGACTCCTCAGCCAGCCCCGAGGAAAGTGCAGCCATTGGACAGGTCTGTGCGGGCTGCCGGTTTCAGGGAGGAAGGTGGGAGAAGCCTGGAGGAGCGAAGGGGAGGGCGGAGGGAGGAGGGAGGAGGGTGCGGCGGCAGATCTGGCAAATTGCGAGCTGCCTTCCCTCCTCAAAGTGTGGAGAAGGAGCGCGGGGGAGCGTGGCGACGGCAGCGCCTCCTCCGCCACCAAACTCCTGGGGCTCCGCGGGGGCTTGGGGCCACCTCCTCCTGAGCCCGGAGGAACCCTCTCCCGATAGGTTCCAGCGTGACTCCCTCCCACTCCACCCTTTTCCTTTCTTCTTCCTCTTTTTTTTTTTTTTTTTTAAACACATTTTTTTCCTGGCTTCGGACCTCAGACTGCTGCAGCCCTAACCTTCCCAGGGCTCAGCTCTTTGGAGCTGCCCATTCCTCCGGCTGCGAGAAAGGACGCGCGCCCTGCGTCGGGCGAAGAAAAGAAGCAAAACTTGTCGGGAGGGTTTCGTCATCAACCTCCTTCCCGCAAACCTAAACCTCCTGCCGGGGCCATCCCTAGACAGAGGAAAGTTCCTGCAGAGCCGACCAGCCCTAGTGGATCTGGGGCAGGCAGCGGCGCTGGCTGTGGAATTAGATCTGTTTTGAACCCAGTGGAGCGCATCGCTGGGGCTCGGAAGTCACCGTCCGCGGGCACCGGGTTGGCGCTGCCCGAGTGGAACCGACAGTTTGCGAGCCTCGGCTGCAAGTGGCCTCTCCTCCCCGCGGTTGTTGTTCAGTGTCGGGTGAGGGCTGCGAGTGTGGCAAGTTGCAAAGAGAGCCTCAGAGGTCCGAAGAGCGCTGCGCTCCTACTCGCGTTCGCTTCTTCCTCTTCTCGGTTCCCTACTGTGAAATCGCAGCGACATTTACAAAGGCCTCCGGGTCCTACCGAGACCGATCCGCAGCGTTTGGCCCGGTCGTGCCTATTGCATCGGGAGCCCCCGAGCACCGGCGAAGGACTGGCGGGTGGGGTAGGGAGGTGGCGGCGGCGGCATGGCGAGGTTCCCGAAGGCCGACCTGGCCGCTGCAGGAGTTATGTTACTTTGCCACTTCTTCACGGACCAGTTTCAGTTCGCCGATGGGAAACCCGGAGACCAAATCCTTGGTAAGTAAGATGCACTTTAGCTTGCTGATTTTGTGCGCAGCTGAAGACCTCTCTGGCACTCTCGTGCTCCCTACCCTCTCCCCCCAACATCACCTATCTGCCCTTGGGAAACTTATTGCAGTTGCTTTTCGGCTAAACTTAGGCTTCCCAAATGGGGAAAGAGGGTTATCAAGAGAAGGACGCCGGGGACTAGGGGTTTTCTTGAGGCTTTCGGGCTTACTTCACCTGGGCGGCAGGGGGTGGTACTGTCTCCCCAAAGTAGCCCAGGGAGGGCTTCAGTGTGAGAGCAAAGCTTCTTCCGTGGATACATCTCCTAGGACCTGGCATCTCCAGGCTGTGTGCTCTCCGGCTCCTCCTCCTTCCTCGCTGCTGGTTAAACTAAGCGTGTGTGGTATGGGGTGGGTGGGGGACGTTGTGAAAGCCAGGGATTGCAGGTCTCCCCTCTGCACGAGAAAATTCCCTGTGGCAGCACCTTCCTTCCCCTGGCGATCCCCACTAGCTCCGTCTAGTGACCTGGGCCAAGCGGGCGCTGGAAGGGGGGCGGGGTAAATGCGGCCGGCGCAGAGGTGGGGAGCAGGTGGGAAAGGTGGAGGCGGGCTCGCCTCTGGAGACCTACCCCTGCTCCCATTGTCCTCCGCCTGCCAGCTTCACAGACAGGCCTGAACGCGCAGAGAGTTCCTTGGAGTGCCCTGATTTTGTCCCCGAGAGGGCCCCCAACCTCCGCATCCTCTTAGTGGCTGTCCTGGCAGGTGCGCGTCCTGCGGGGAGTTGCGCCCCGGGGGCTATCGCCGAGCGGGAGCTGCCTCCTGGAACCCTGCCCACCGCGAACTGGGTGCCTACTCCCCATTTCTGCCTTTCAGTGAAGAAAGTGAAGACACAGGCAGAAAGAGATCTTGGCAGAAATTGGTGAACTAGGGTGGACTTCGAGAGGAGGTGAAACGAGAGAAAAAGAAAAAAGAAAAAACTTGGAGGGAAAAGAAAAGAAAACGAAAACTTTCTCCCTAGGATAATCAATTTGTCAATTTGTTCTTTTCTGGTGTGTGTGTGTGTGTGTGTGTGTGTGTGTGTGTGTGTGTGTGTGTAATTTAAATGATTGCCCGGAAAGTATGCATGCGTCCTCAACAGTCAACTAGAGAGTCACAGATGGAAGGTTGGGGGACACCTGGGGATTCCAGGCAAGGTGAATCTTGAAGATCTTGAAGGAAACCCTTGAGTGAAATTTACCAAGCCGCGACTTAGAAGACAGTCACAACACTTCGCCTGTCCCTGGTGTAAACTGTTCTAGATAAAGCACAGATACTGACTCTGCGCTCTTATTTATGGTTGAAGGGGTGTGTGTGTTGGGGTGTATGTGCAGGGAGGCAATAGGATGACAACACTTTTAAAGCTGAGAACAAAATGCAGATTTCTTGGGTGTTGACTTGTCTTTGTCACATTTAATTGTTCTGCATTAATGGACATAGGTTGTTCTTGACTGTGTATGATTTATGACAGTAGACTATGCCTTTTGTTTATTTCTCTGATACGTTTCATTGGTCCGAAAAAATAACACTTTTAGCCTTCCAGGAAAGGACACAGTTATTTAAAAATTGCAACAGTAATTTTCATGTACTTATTCACGGTATGAATAGATGCTTAATAAAAACAATTAACTCCACCACAAACGAGGTTAAAAGGATGTGTGTGCCAATGTGCATCCCAAGTTGTTTATTTAAAAACTTCTTTGGCACTAGGAATAAATAATGCATTTGCAGTAAAGGAAAAAAAAATAAATGCCAGCAAATGTTTATCTTTTTATAAACCTGTTCCAGTAACGTTACTGAAAAAAGAATATATGTATACACACACACACACACACACACACACACACACAATACACACACATTTGCTATGCCAAGAAGTTCAGAAATTGAGGATGAAATTCATCCCAAAGTAAGATTGGCCATATAATTAAAAGCCCTTGCTGTGGGAAATATAAAATACTTAAAATGTTCAACATCAGTGTACTGGTATTTTAAGCTAGTTGAATATTTCTGATGGGAAATATACTCTAGAAACCCATATATTGATAGGATTGATTTTTAAAAGAATGGTTTTAAATTCCTTGCCAAATTTTCGAAGACTTTTATAAACAGAAGTAGCTTCTTTCCTGGACATCATTTACATGTAGTTTTATGAAAAAAATATTGTAATTAAATGGTTAGCTTACTGAATATATAAAAAAAGCAAGGTGAAACAGAAAAAAGTATACAACTTTATTTGTAAAATAGTCTATATAAAAATTCAGTATGGGGGGAAAAGTCCAGCAGTCTTGACGTTTGTCATGCAACAATCAGGATCTTTATTACAGACATGTTGGCACAGGAACAACATCTGATTTCATAACAGGGACATTTTATTATGCGTTACTTTAGTAAATGCTGCAGTTGATTTCATTGCCACCAGAGGGCAGATAAACTGCTAATTTCCTCTATTATTCCCTTTTCTGTTTTAGAGGGAAGTAGTTTATGTTTATCATATAATTTACACTTATTTTAGTTGTTCTTCTCTGGTTGAATATTTTTCTGTTATTTCCTGCTTTTGTTGGAGTTAAACAATTTACTTTGAAATATTACTCATTTGTAGAGTTTGTTATGAGAGTGTTGCTGTTGAGACATAATCACTAAAGTTTCTGTTTACATATAAACCTAGAGCACAGTGATATAATAGAGGGGTTAATTCAAGTGAACATTTATTGTAAAATGGACATCTGTCATATTGTTGGACAAAAGACAGGTTGATTATTTTATCAATCAATGACTTGAGGCTACCTGCAAAATTTTAAAAATATGAAATATGAGTTTCTTTTTCCTTTAGAGAACAGATACAAGTTTTGGAGCTTGAGGTTGGGTAAGTTTGGACTGAGACATAATTGTAGTGTAGAACATTTATATCAAAGGTAATTTTTGTTGTTGTTGTTCATGGATGTCTGCCTAGAGGTTTGGAATTATTATAATCAGGAGAATTTGCACATTTCAGTGTGATCTTCAGAAATAAACTCTTGTCAGGGAGAATGTATTTGAATAAAACTTAATAATGAAAGATAATAATTTTGCTCCAGACAGGTTTCTTCACTGTAAGCATCAGATACTCACAGAGTATGTAGAAAATATGTGTCCGGCCGGGCGCGGTGGCTCACGCCTGTAATCCCAGCACTTTGGGAGGCCGAGGCGGGTGGATCATGAGGTCAGGAGATCGAGACCATCCTGGCTAACAAGGTGAGACCCCGTCTCTACTAAAAATACAAAAAAAAATTAGCCGGGCGCGGTGGCGGGCGCCTGTAGTCCCAGCTACTCGGGAGGCTGAGGCAGGAGAATGGCGGGAACCCGGGAAGCGGAGCTTGCAGTGAGCCGAGATTGCGCCACTGCAGTCCGCAGTCCGGCCTGGGCGACAGAGCGAGACTCCGTCTCAAAAAAAAAAAAAAAGAAAAGAAAATATGTGTCCTTATCAATTAGTTTTGTCATTTTTTCCTAAAAGCTATCTCCTATTGCAGAAACATTATGTTTTTAAAGAGGAATGAGTTGATCAACAGCCTTGATCATGGGATCTAAAGTCTTCAGCTGCAGGCTGGGCACGGCAGCTCATGCCTGTAATCCCAGCACTTTGGGAGGCCGAGGTGGGCGGATCACCTGAGGTGAGGAGTTCCAGACCAGCCTGGCCAGCATGGTGAAACCCCGCCTCTACTAAAAATACAAAAATTAGCCGTGTGTGGTGGTAGACCCCTATAATCCTGGCTATACTTGGGAGGATGAGGCAGGAGAATCACTTGAACCCAGGAGGCGGAGATAGCAGCGAGCCGAGATTGCACCATTGCACTCCAGCCTGGATGGGCGACAAAGGGAGACCCTGCCTCAAAATAAAAATAAAAATAAGTAAACAAACAAATAAATAAATGAAGTCTTCAGCTACTTTCTCCTCACATTAATACAGTCTCTTCTCCATGGTCTTCAAGGCCATTGCCTGTGGCCTCAAGCACTTTCCCACCCTCTCTCCCCTGCCTGTTCTTGAAAGCTCTCACCAGATGAGCTGCTGAAGTTCCCTGAGTGTGTACCATGCATTACCACTTCTGCCATTCCTCCTGCTCTTCCTTCTCTAAGTGCGTCTCCATCCATCCATTTTCCAATTTTTCCTGCAGATTTATCTCAAGTGACACTCTCCACAAAAGGACGTGTTGTCTTAGAATTCTCAGTGCACTTTATGCCTTCTTCAAAGGCACTTGCTTGATATTGTAGGGTTTCCTTTTCTTTCCATTTCTACCTCTCTCTCATGTATTCTATTAGACTAGACCATACATTCCTGAGGTCAGGGTCTGTTGTCATTTATTTCTGAATCTGCTGTGGCAACAACCAATAAATAGTTGCAATAAATGGTTGTTGGACTGAACTGAACTGACTAGAACTATAGTTCAAGCTGAATTATTAATTTGAATGCCACGTTGGGAGACTTTTTAAATAATTCCCATGCTAAGACTTTGTCCATCCCTAGGATAGAAATAAATTTAAAACGAACTTTGGAGAGTAACTGTTGAAACCAAAGCATAAGATCCAGAAGTCTGCTAAACTATCCTTCTACTATTAGGTGGGACTTTCAAAAAATTCATTCGACCATTCTTCTATCCTGCTGGTTTCTGAGTGAATGTTCACTCATGTTCTTAATCTCATATCTTTTTTCTTTTATACATTCCTTTAAAAAAAATTCTTTGTTTTCATTTTTAATAATATGTATTTAAGCTGTGCAACATGATGCTTGTTTATTTTCTTATTCTATGTATAAGAGAAAGCAAATTGCATTTGTATTTCCGTGTCTGAATTATTTTACTTAGCACAATGTCCCCCAGATTCATCCATGCTATCACAAATAGCAAGATCTTCTTTTTTAAAGCTAAATAATATTCCATTGTGCATATATATGCACTATATATGCAATATATAATGTATATACACTATATATGCACTATATAGTATATATGCACTATATATAATATATATGCACTACATATGCAATATATAATATAAATGCCCTATATATGCAATATATATAATATATGCACTATATATGCAATATATATAATATATATGCACTATATATGGAATGTATATGCACTACATATGCAATGTATGTGGAATATATATCCAGTTATTCATCAATGGACACTCAGGTTGTTGTCATATCTTGGCTATTGTGAATAATGCTTCAATTAACATGGGAGTGAAGATACCTCTTAAAGGCTCTGGTTTTATTTTCTTCAGGTATATATACAGAAGAGAGGTTGCTAGCTCATATGGTGGTTTTATTTTTGATTTTTTGAAGCAACTTCATATTGTTCTTTTTATGGCTCTACCAATTTACATTCCCACCAACAGTGTATAAGGGTTGCCTTTTCTCCACATCCTCACCCACACTTACTATCTATTGTCTTTTTGACAATAGCCATCTTAATATTAGTAGGTGTGAGATGATACCTTATTGTGATTTTGATTTGTATTTCCCTAATGATTAGTGATGTTGAGGACCATGTCATATGCCTGTTGGCCATTTTTTTTGTCTTCTTTGGAGAAATGTCTTTTTTAGGCACTTTGCCTATTTTAATATCAGTTATTTACATTAAGCCTTCTGTTGATAGATAGGACTTTCAAAAAGTTTATTCCACTATTTTCCTATACTGCTAGTTTCTTTCTGGATGTTTACTTACTTTTTTTTTTTGAGACAGAGTCTCGCTGTTTCTCCCAGTCTGGAGTGCAGTGGCGCGATCTCAGCTCACTGCAAGCACCGCCTCCCAGGTTCACGCCATTCTCCTGCCTCAGCTTCCCAAGTAGCTGGGACTACAGGCACCCGCCACCACGCCCAGCTAATTTTTTGTATTTTTTAGTAGAGACGGGGTTTCACTGTGTTAGCCAGGATGGTCTCGATCTCCTGACCTCGTGATCAACCCACCTCAGCCTCCCAAAGTGCTGGGATGTTTACTTATGCTTTTAATTTAATATCTTAAAATATGATATACATATATATGTACATATGCATACATATATGGTGGTGGTGGTGTTTCATTTCACTGAAGATGAAGACTATTAAATAATTTTGGTTCTTTGTGGGATTCTTTTTGAATTAAACTGTTTTAGGCCTCATGTCACTAAACTATAATGAAGGAGGCTGTAAAAATATTGTCTCGGCTGGGCGTGGTGGCTCACACCTGTGATCCCAGCACTTTTTTGGGAGGTGGAGGTGGGTAGATCAAGAGGTCAGGAGATCAAGACCATCCTGGCCAACATGGTGAAACCCCGTCTTCCCTAAAAATAAAAAAAATTAGCCAGGCATGGTGGCATGCACCTGTAGTCCCAGCTACTCAGGAGGCTGAGGCAGGAGAATCGCTTGACCCGGGAGGTGGAGGTTGAGATTGCGCCACTGCACTCCAGCTGGGCGACAGAGCAAGACTTCATCTCAAAAAAAAAAAAATTCTCATAAAACTTGTTTTGAGGTGAGGTTCAGTGGCTCACACCTGTAATCCCAACACTTTGGGAGGCCGAGACAGGGGGATTGCTTGAGTCCACGATTTGGAGACCAGCCTGGGCAACATAGGGAAGAGACCTCATCTCTACAGTTTTTTTGTTTTGTTTTGTTTTGTTTTTAATTAGCTGTTCATGGTGGTGCACACCTGTAGTCCCAGCTACTTGGTAGGCTGAGGTGGGAGGATCACTTGAACCCAGGAGGTCAGGGCTGCAATGAGCTGTGATTACACCACTGCATTCCAGCCTGGCCAACAGAGTGTGACCCTGTCTCAAAAAGTAAAATAATAAAAAATCTTGCTGTGGGAGCTGTTACAGGGAAGCAGATGAGGATATTCTGCAATACATTTCACGGTGTCTGCTCCCCAAGATATTATGCCATGAGAAAATGAGAAAGAGAAAGAGACAGAGACAGGGTGAGAGACCTTATGTTTCAATAACAGACATAGTTCTTTTGAACTTGTTTGTGTCTTCTGGACATTATAAATAGTACCTAGGAGTTTTACCATTTAACTTTTGGTTTCTTGAAATCTCAGTGCAAGATTTGTGGCCCACCTCCAACAAGCATATAAACCTTCTGGCCTACATTTGTGTGCTAGCTTACCTATGTCTTCATCTTACCTTTTCTACCTTTTCTCACTTAAAATCTTGTTTGGTATTTGTTTTGGAGATGGGAAAAAAGCAAATAAAATTGAATCGCCATAATACATAAGGTTGTGTATCACTAAGTTGCTTTCCACTTTCTCTTAATCTGATGAATTCCAGCCCTTTGGCTTTATTCTGAGCACATTTTCCCAAAGCTGTAATTATCTCTGTAGAGTACTCCATTCTGAGAGGTCTTTCTTCACTGAGTTCACACAGGATATCTTCCCTCACTGCCTCCCACACAATGATTCTGTTAAGCTGAGGAAGTTACTAGAGAATGACAGGCTAAGTAGTGATGCTTTTATTAAGAAAGTTTCTTCCACTATTTATTGTGTTATACATTAACAGGATAATAGCTGACAAAAGATGAGAATATAAAATATTCCACATGTGTTTATAACCAGACAGTGAACTCATTTCATATTTATTGTTTGGTTTTATTTTCCTCTTTTTAATTAAAAAGGTGGTAAGCTGTGGAATGATGGTATAGATTTGTATATTTAAATAGAATTAGAGGTCTTGTCAGGGGCCTGTTTGGAATTAGCCTGTTAAGGATTACAGATCTGAACATGGGGTCAGACACTAAGTGACGTTACTGGATATCCAGACTTTTAAATCTCTTCTGTCAGAGGCCATCAAACCAGATCTAAGCGCTGGTACCTTTACCTTACCCTTCAAATTAAAATAGGCTGTCCTCACTCTTTCTGCTTGAGGCCTTATCATAGTTAGTGGTCTGTGAATTTTGTCAAGAGAGGGTCACAGGCCAAGATGCAGACTGACTTCCTTTTTACTTGTCTGGAATCTTATTACTCAGTTCCTCAATTATTTTTTACTCAATAATTGGACATTTTCCTTAGAATCCATGTTGTTCGAGGTCTCGTCCTGTAGGTAAGGTGTGTAGCTCATTGAGGCTTTGAGAATATGGAGAGAATGTTAAGAGTTTGCCCTATGGAAAAACTGCATAGGAATCCGAATATTTGAAAGTCAATTCTCTATGTATTCCTTGGAGTGTTCAGTGATACAAAAAGTCTAAATAAAACTGATATATTCTCTTTGAGTATGATGCTTGGTAAGTACACTCTGGTTCATTTTGCTTAGGATACTGTATTCTTGGGTCCAGCTGGAATATGGAACATTGAACATTCGATAATGTTTTTTGGGTAGTAGTTACAGATATCTGCTTACAGTAGCAACTGCTTACAGTAGTAACTCCTACCATTTTCTGTCTGAAACCATTATATGAACATCCAATAAAATATTTATTTCCCTAAAGCCTAAAAGGGAAGTAGGACAGGCAGAATTTATCATTTAGAGCATGAAATGTACCAATAATGATGAGTTTTAAGATGGGAAAGTATTTAAGGTACATTTCAGGTACTGCTCATGCTGAATCTATTATATCTATTTGCTGAATTCTTTCCAACATACAAACTTAGACTGTAGCTACCGCTGACCTAATGAACCTGGTTATTTATATGCTGTCTTTTTGTTCATTTGTCTGGTCAAAAGGGCCCACTCACCTTCCTGTGGGCATAGCTGGCGGGAGCAAGTCTGGTATTTCAGCTGACTTCTCCTTTTGGCTTTCTCTTCTCCTTCTCCTTTTGCTATCTTTTCTCTTCAATTCATTGAAAAATGTCTATATATAAATTACATAAATGCAATCTGCATTGCAAAATATCCCAATGAAAAGTATATATGAAATAATTTTTGGCAAACTGAGTCATGTTCTTAGTGGATATGGGTTCCTGTGATTTCAAGGAATGCTGTCCTGAACTTTTAATTTAAAAACATTCAACCTCCTAATTATTTTGCCAGTCCGTAGTTTTATGTTTAAGATTGCCCAAAATGTACTGCCTGTCCATAATTCTTTCAAGAATTATTGCTTCTGATATTAGCCATTTTAATTCTATTTACTATTTATATAGGTCCTGGGAATATACACCTTTGAATTTTTTGTTGTTGTCATTTAGCCCTTTAATTTGCTAATTCCAGGAAACAAAAATTGAACTAAGAGACATACCACTGTGTCTTTGCACTTTTTTTCTTGGTGCTTGTTTGGAGCAGAAACAGGAGGGTCATTTTAGTTTTTTTGTCATACAAGAAAAATTTGAAGAATATTTTAATACTTTGAAAACTGTGGATGCCCTGTGAAAATCAAGTTGACTTGTGAGGTTAAAACAAATTTTATTTCACATTTTAGTTTGAGAGCATTCTTGCTATATTACAAAGATATTGCTCAGTGCTTTATTTTCATATGCTGGTTTTGTTAAACTAGCATAGGATATTATATATCTTGTATAATGTACAGTTGTACCTACTTTGATTCATAACTTGGCTTTAAAGTTTTTATGTAGCTTTAAAAAAGGTGGTTTTTTTGTTCAAACTGAATGAATTTTATGAAAACCTTTTGTTTTACGTGAAGTGTGAGTAAATATAGCTCCTGTATCAGAATCTTGTGGTCGCGTTTGTTAATATGGAAAGACTTGCAAAATACTGATGGGTATGTTGTGAAACAATTTTGGTGGAGACTGAGTTGTGTAATAAATCACATCACTTGCTGTTTTGTTTTTAGCAACTGCATCTACTTGTGTTGGTCTTAATTGTAATCTGCTGGTCCACAACTGATTTATTCAGTTTTCCATCCATGGATAATTAGTGCTCTTGTGAATGTGAGGGTAGGAACATCCTTGCAAACGTCTTTTCCTGTTTACATGCAGGAGATGCTTGGCTTATATTTAGAGCTAGAATTTCTGGGTTATTGGGTTTGTGAAAGGGCTACTCCAAAAAGATAAATCCTGAAATAAGCCCTGCTGAGATAATCCACTTTGAAGATAAAGGGGGTGGGGGAACCCATAATTATCCTTGTACTGATACACAGTCTTAATTACTGTAGCTTTATAATAAGTCTTTATATCTGATGGGACAAACCGGTCCTCCTTGTTCTTGCTCTTCAGAAGCTGGCTATTTCAGGAGGTTCTTTCCTTTTCCAGAGCCATTTTAGAATAAACATTTCAGATTTTGCTACAAACTCTTGGGCTTTTGATTGCAATCTTATGAAGTCTCTGGGTCATTTTGTAAATAATTCAATTTCTAAACAACTGGGAGACTACGTAATTTCTTTTCTACAACATCCAATGGCCAGAACAAGTACCACAGGGCTTCATAACAATTTTCTTTTTCTTTTTCTTTTTTTTTTTTTTAAGACAGAGTCTCACTTTGTTGCCCAGGCTGGAGTGCAGTGGCACGATCTTGGCTCACTGCAACCTCCACCTCCCGGGTTCAAGTGATTTTCCTGCCTCAGTCTCCCAAATAGCTGCAACTACAGGCGCGCCACCACACCCGGCTAATTTGTGTATTTTTAGTAGAGATGGGGTTTCACCATGTTGGCCAAGCTGGTCTCCAACTCCTGACCTCAAGTGATCCACCCATTTTGGCCTCCCAAAGTGCTGGGATTACAGACATGAGCCACCGCGCCCAGCCATCATAACAAATTGTTAATAGTGACTATTTGACTGTGACCTTTTTTAGTTGAAATGAAATTTCCAGATGGAGAGCTGGGGAGGTTTTCTTATCACATCATCAGACTAACCATACATCTAATTGTTTCCTAGGAAACAAATGGGGAATGATAGTTTAATTAAAATGAACAACTCAGTTAAGGGAAGGAAATGTTAATACCTGGCTTCTTAGGAACTATCACGATGGAGGAGTGAGCTCAACTCAAATAACACATGGACATGATGATATTTTCGCAATGTGCCTCTTCGCATCTTATCTCTGGACCAGCAACGCTCCAATCAAGACTTTGTCTTAAGTTTGCTGCATCCTAAGAAACAGCTTTGGAAAGAAAGGTAAAATCTCCAAGCTTTAGGATCCTCCTTAACAATGGCTCACTAGCTGATTCATTTCGATCCCATTGGAGATTTACTTTGAATGAGAGTACAGTTTGCAAGTTGCTACCCCTCCATAGACAATAGAATTTATTATTTTATTTAGACTACAGGCATTTGCAAAGGAGAGGGGTACAATTTTGTTGTTTGATTTGAAAATGTGAACTCCACCTCCAGCTCAGCACAGTCCATGACTGGCTACGGCTCTGAAGTCAGGCTTGGTGATCTGAGTATTTTTTAATCAGGAGTACATGGAAAAGCCAGGCAGCTTGTTTTATTTCTTGGTTGTTTAGCCTTCTTTATCTTTTTAACATCTGTTGTTCATTTCAGATATTTTTAAAAACAAGCAAGATTTAAAGTCATTCTGCACATGACAGTCTCATTGTCTGGACATTGCAAAACAGCTCCATGCAGGAAGCCAGATTGGTGCAATCTCAGTTTTGTCAAGCTGTTTTTAGAAGAGGTGTTTGAAAATAGGCATGGCCAATAAGAAGCTGATTTTTTTTTTAAGCCAAGGACTTTTGTTTGACTTCAGATGGCTTTTCTCCAGCCCCCAGTTCTATTGTTCTGTCTTCAACAGGCCTGGCCTTTCTAGCCTGGCTGACTGCAAAGGCTTCCCACCTTACCTCCAAAGTTGCCCTGCTGGAACCCATTCTTCATTCCACAGCCAGAAAGATCTTTCTAAAATGCAAATCTGACTGTGTCCCTCCTCTGTTGGAACCACTCCTGTGCCTTTCCGTTGCTCTCATGCTGAAGGTATCTGGTCCTGTTTGACCTCTTCAGGTTCAAGTTCAGCACTTTCTGTCCTTCCCCAGGATCCCCGTACATTGTCTCTGTTCTGAAATTGTGCACGTGCTTTTACCTCTTTTTGGTGCACGCTTTCCTCTTTTTTTTTTTTTTTTTTTTTTTTTGGCTTTTTGTCCT
The DNA here is from genome assembly GCF_000001405.40 of Homo sapiens. Classification (NCBI taxonomy): domain Eukaryota; kingdom Metazoa; phylum Chordata; class Mammalia; order Primates; family Hominidae; genus Homo; species Homo sapiens. Next base: position 19,829,193 of record NC_000010.11, read on the forward strand.
TCAGATCTCCACTTAGCCTTGATGTCTTTATCGTTTCACTGATCATCAATAGTAATTACTTGTGCCTGCATTTGACTATAAACTGCCTTCTGTGACTCATTCTCCAGTGCCTCCCTAGCTCCAAGCATAGGAAGCTCTCTGAAAATTTGCTGTAGGATGCTTGTTAGCGTTCCACTTTTATAAATGGTGCTGTGTTTGTTCAGGTTTATCACTCATGCAAAGAGTTTTGTTGATACTTTCTTACCACATGTTTCTTTGAGCAAAATTTCTAAGTTACAATTTCTGTAATGTGATGTCCTGGGTTAAAGTATCAACGACAGGCCAGGCACGGGGGCTCATGCCTATAATCTCAGCACTTTGGAAGGCCTCTACTAAAAATACAAAAAATTAGCCAGACGTGGTGGCGGGCACCTGTAGTCCCAGCTACTCGGAGGCTGTGGCATGAGAATCACTGGAACCCAAAAGGTGGAGGTTGCAGTGAGCCGAGATCATGCCACTGCACTCCAGCCTAGGCAACAGAGTGAGACTCCATATCAAAAGTAAAAATTTAAAAAAAAAGTCAAAATGTACAGAGAAGGTAGAGATGGAGTGACTGCAAAGTAAGATAATTTGTCATATATATTTGTGAAGAACTGAGAACTCATTTACAAAGGATGATTTACAAATTGTCCAGTCATATACTAAGCTAGCAAGAACAGAGAAAGGGATACTTTAATCGGTGTTATCAAGAGTAGTTTTAAATTTCTGAGCTTTGTAAATCTGAATAACATTTCAAAGGCTGTGAAAGGACAAGATTTTAATCCTCTCTAATTTGTAACCCACAACTTGAATTGTCTGATAAAATATTAAAATCTGTTAATTTGCTTCTCTGGAGAGAATTCCATAGTTAAAAATGATATATGGGTAAACAATGAGTGAAATAGAAATTAGAGATAGAGCCATGAAATTTGCATAAATAGCTTTCCACCTATCTCAAGGCAAAGGAGTCCAACTGGGAAACACCCCCTGGGAAATAGATATTTAAGAGATTTTTCAGATACAGATCACTTGGTAGCCTTTTAAATATTTTTCAACAAAAGAATCAATACAATCTCTTAGTACCACACTCAGGGACTTGAGTTAACTCTTTTCACAGTCTTAATGTGATCCACTTGCTGACGTTTTAATCCGTTCAGGTCAGCATCTACCATGTAATCAACAGTTTGTTTCTCTTATACTCAGAGCACATTTTTTTCTTACCTTGGCTTTTACTGTTTTTCTTGAAACATTCTCCAGAGTTCTTCCTCTCTTCCATACTCATGGTATGGTGTGAACATCTGATATTTCTATCTCCTCAGTATCTCTTTCCCCCATCCTTTGGTAACAGCACCCTCCCATTATTTAGGAATGTCCTCTCCCCACTCTATGTTGTTCTCCTGGGTTTCTTTTAATAGTGGCATATTTCCTGTGATCAGCTTGTGTCTCAAAAGTGGCCATGCAGAGTGTATCTTCACCCCTGGACCTCAGGCTAACTGGTCTTTCTCTAACTATGCTCCGGAAAAGAGAAGGTTTTTTTTTTTCCTGGGAGTTGTTGCATTGGGAAGATAAAAGTCTAGAGCCATCCATAGGCAATCTTGGACTGCCCAATGTGATAAAGCAGGAAATTCTGATTTTGAGCTGGGATTTGTTACTTGCTGCTGAAAGAGTCTTGAGAAATCCATCAAAGTGTTTAATTATATTGCTATTTGTGTAAGTATTCAATTGAGGACTCTTCTTCCCACTAAATTGTAAGCTCTATGAGGGTAGGAACCAGGTTTGTTTCCTTTTTTTTTTTGTTTGTTTTTTTGCTTGTTTGTTTTCTTGGCACCTTTCATAGTGCTTGGTATATAGAAGGCAATTAATAAATACTTAATGAACTTTTCTGCATAATTTTCATTTGATAGGGCATATTATCAATGACCATTAAAATGATTCAAATCTCAGATGTCCAGTGGCATTCATCAGATAAGTCATAAGCTGTGACTGTGATATATTCTTTCTTCTCTGTTGGTTTTCTTGGGTGATTTTTTTATCCCATTCTGATATTACATATTCAATTCTTGTACCTGGGTCTTATTTTTCTCATCTTTCTTGGTGTTTCACTTACTGTCTTCCTTTATTTGGCTAGCAGTTCCTGTCCTCATTTTATTTTTCCTATGGGTATAGATGAACTTTCTAGGCAGTGGGAAACCATGAAAGGGAAGGCTTTAACTCTTTTTTGTTTTTTTAACTTTTATTTTAGGCTGAGGGGTACATGTGAAGGTTTGTTATTTAGGTAAGCTTGTGCCACAGGGGTTTGCTGTACAGATTATTTTGTCACCCAGGTAGTAAGCTTAGTACCCAATAGTTATTTTTTCTGCTCCTCTCACTCCTCCCACTCTCCGCCCTCAGATAGACCCCAGTGTCTGTTGTTCTCTTTGTGCCCATGTGTTCTCATCGTTTAGCTCCCACTTATAAGTAAGAACATGTGATATTTGGTTTTCTGTTCGTGCATTACTTTGCTAAGGATAATGTCCTCCATCCCTTTTCCTGCAAAGGATATGATCTCATTCTTTTTTGTGGCTGCATAATATTCCCTAGTGTATAGGTATCATATTTTCTTCATTCAGTCCATCACTGATGTACATTTAGGTTGATTCCACATCTTTGCTATTGTAAATAGTACTGCAATGCATGTCTGCATGCATGTGTCTTTATGGTAGAATGATTTATGTTTTTGACCCAGCAATCCCTTTACTGCATATACACCCAGAGCTTTAACTCTTTCATGGATGACATATCATAGTTTTTGTTAGTCCAATAATCTGCACCCAGAAATAAGAGGCAAAAACCCATCAAACAAATGGGTTTTTCGTTTATTCATTTATTATTTTTCATTTATTCATAAGTGCTCCATAGCCAATGCTTATTGATGTTGTTTATTTAATACTTTTGTTTATTGGGGTTCTCCAGAATTTAAAAAATTTAAAAACAAAACAAAAATAGTATAACTATGCTTCAGACATAGCACCTAGCATGTAGTAGGCTCTTAATTTAAAAATTGTTGACTGACTTATTGAATAGCCCACAAAGGTCTATCTTGCATCTAATAAATGCATTGACTCATTTATCTTTCCATTCATTTACTCAATAACTCATCAGTAATTAAAAAGAAACACGGAGGAATGCATGAATGCACTTATTAGAAATAAAATAGACTGTTGTAGGTTAATTGAAAACCTAGCCATTATATCTCATATTCTTTATACATAAGTTGGAGATGATACATGTTACACATGTCTGTGTGATGTGTGCTTAAAACATATGACATTTCATGATATAATTTGAAATATCTTTGTAAAGTTCAATTTGCATAATTTTTATATTAGTTAACCTTTTCCTCCACCAGGGTAACTTCAGTTGGAAGATGTTTCTACTGTCAATCGAATTTTTTAATTCACTGTGTGAGATAGAAAAAGACATGGTTTCTATATATAAGGGGTGTGATTTACAAGAGGCTATGTGCATGTGTATAACATGGATACAGTGCGAGGGACAAACCAATACTTGTGGTTGCACAAGGGAGCCGGGGAAGAGTCCCGCGGAGGTGTGTGTGGTGGGAAAGTTCTCCAGGGAAGACAACATTCGATTGTCTTGTGGTTGCTAAAAGGACGCTTTTGACGCCAGATGGGCTTGAGTCCAAATCTTGGCTCTGAAATTTCCTCGTTGCCATTTTGACCTTGGGAAAAAATATTAACTCTCGAACCTCCATTTCTTCATCTGTAACACAGCAGTAAAATTACTCATCTCTCTAGTCATAATAACTGTTGTCAAAAATGTCTGTTCTCTGAATGTTTGGTGGGTTTCAGTAGAAAAAATAAGGAAGTTGGAAGTGGGAAGTTAAGGATGTCAGAGGCAGAGACAAAAAAGGGCAGGGCAAGGCATGGAATTTTCTCTGAAAACTTTACTTAATCTCATTAAGTGTTGGTTATTGATGAATCTATATTTCAAAGTACCAGACATAAAACCATATCACCTTCGGTCTAATGATAGTCAAGTGCAGTGCTACTGTTGCAGGTCTGGGAAAAATTCAGGCCAATGAGAGCCTTTGATGGCCGTGGGAACAGTAAATTGCAGCAGTGCTGCAATTAACTAGAAGTGCCGACTGCACCTCCAGCAGGCTCAGACTTGCATGGCTGCCTGCTGGAATGCAAAGCTTTTCTCTTATTCACAACCCTCCCACTCACTCATTGATAGCCTAGGGCCAGATCTGGATGTGGAAAACATTATTCCAATAAAAGGTGCGTTAAAAGAACACTCAAGGAGTTTATTTTTTAACAAACTCATGTTGTGTAAAATGAGATGAGGGTCTCAGAAACAGTTTTCTTTTCTTGGCATGGGCTGAGGACACTAAGCGAAATTCTGCCGCGTCATCTACTTTGAAGCAAGAAAATACTTTGACCTTATTAATGTACTTGTTTCTAGGGATAAATAAACCACCTTAGGAGATTACACAATTCCCTTGGATGATAAGTTAACTTTTTTTGGATAATGATGCTCTGTGTATAAAGGAATCCAAAATGCTACCTGTGTGTTAGTGAATTAATCGAAAAGGTAAGCAATCTATGTGTAAGAAAAAGACACCTGTTCTAAGATTGCATCAATGAATAGAAGATAAGAAATGTCAAAATAAAAAATGCATACAAATCTTTAAAAAGCATTCAGAGTTCAGAGTTTCCTGGGCATTTCATATTTTGCTTTTTTTTTTTTTTTCTCCAGAACTGTATGGAGGCCTTTAGTGTTTTGGTTGAGTCTAGCCCTAAACATATGGGCAATAGAAGTGGACGTCTTCATGGTGTTATTTGAAAGCAATGGAACCAGTCCTTGTTCCTGCATGAACTTGCAGGTTGTCATTAACTTACAGAGTCATTTATTTGGGTTTAGTTAATATATCTTGGAAAATGTGAAATATTGCAAGGAGGAGGAATGGTCATCCATATCTTCTGCATTTGAAACCTAGAACAGGTGTGCTAAAAAGACAGGTATAGTGTCCAGGTTTCAATGGACTGGGAAAGGAAGCCTTTGGCAAGGCCCCTGGTTAGATCAAGAACAGCACAAAATCACAGAGAAAGAGAGAGGTAGAGAGAGAGAGAGAGAGAGAGAGAGTGTGTGTGTGTCTGTGTGTGTCTGTGAAGAGACAGGGGTTAACAAAGGCAAAGGGACAGATATACCAAAAAGGGGCTGAGAGAAAACTGCTCAAGAAAGAGGTTGGGGTCTCTGAGGACCGAATCAATATCCCATTTGCTACACTATCTGTATACCACCTATGCCACCATTTCAATACACATCTGGCAATAGACTGTTTGTTAATATTATCAGACATTAGTAACTTTTCAAGCTTCCCAAATTATCTAATTGGATTAGCCTATAAACTAAACAAAATTGGCTCAAGATGTAATTGTTTCGAAAGGACTGAGATGACTGAATTAAAGTGACATTAATATGCTGTTAGGTTGGGGTTGATAGTGAGGTTTAGCTCTGAGAAGAATTATTTATTCACTATACAAACATTTGCTAGATGTATCCTATGCGCCTAGCATTGTGATGTGAAGGGATACAAAATACAGCCTTTGCCAGGTAGAGGTTACCATGAAGTAAAAAGGACAATTGTAAGAAAATGTGATGTGTGTATATATGTGTGTGAGAGAGAGAGTGGGTGCATTCACTATGGCATTGAGAAATGGGAGCATAGGTCTTAGCCTAGAGAGTCAGGGAAGGCTTCCTAGGGAGGTATGTCTGGGTCTGCATTTGAAGTGTGAGTGGCAGGAGGGCAGAGATGATGGAAAGGCATCCTGAACAGAGAGAACAATCCTGGGGCAGAGAACTGTGAAATCTTCAGGGAACTGCCCTTGCCTGTTGGGCAAGAGCAGGCACAAGATTAGGAAGGGCCTTGCACACCTAGCCGGGTGTTGAATTCTCCCATGAAGTTGACAGTTGGCCCAAAGTGCTGAAATTTCAGACTTGAGCCACCGCACCCAGACAGGTTTTTTATCAGCTGAGTGACAAACTCAGATGGGCTCTTCAAAGGGTCTCTCTAGTGTGGAGAGCAGCTAGGAAGGGCAGGTCTAGAGATAGACCAAATTCAGCACTACTGGATCAATAAAGATGGAATGTGATGCAGGCTTCAGATAAGAGGAGGATAGCTAAGATAATTCTCATGTTTTCCAGGTGCTTTAGGGAATAGAAACATGAGCTCAACCTTAGACTTGGCGAGTACTGAGGTGCTCATGGGACATACCAGTGAAGACAGCAACTCTCCCAGGACTGGGGCTCAGCAGGGAGGGCTCAGATGAGTTCAGGATGTCAAATCATCGAGGTGTATCTGGTGGTGATGGGAACCAGCCAGTGAGCAGGAATAATCAGAGAAGAGCAGAGGGTCAAGGTCAGAGTCCTAGAGAGCTGGTCTGGGAAGGGGAAACTGAGGAATGGGCCCCCAGGCGGGAGATATAGGAGGAGCCACCTAGAGTGAGAGGCAGATTAGGAAAAGCATCACTAGGACAGATCAGGGAATTCAATAAGAGTGGTTTTGGTGGAGGAATGGTGGCTAGCTGGTGGCAGATTGTGGTAGGGTAGTGATGAAGATCAGAGAAGGATGCAGTAAGGTGGATGACGTGCCAGCCTTTTAAAAAGCATGGCTGGGATCTGGGTGTGGTGGCTCACAGCCATAATTTCAGCACTTTGGGGGGCTGACATGGGAGGATCGCTTGAGCCCAGCAGTTTGAGACCAGCCTGGGCAACAAAGTGAGACCCCATCTCTACAAAAATAAAAATAAAAAAATTAGCAGGATGTGGTGGTGCACATCTGTGGTCCCAGCTACACTGGAAGCTGAGGTGGAAGGATTTCTTGAGCCCAAGAGGTTGAGGCTGCAGTGAGCCAAGATTGGTCCACCGCACTCCAGCCTGGGCAACAGAGTGAGACCCTGTCTGAAAAGAAAACAAAAAAAAGAGTATGGTTGGGAAGTAAATGACAGAGAGGGAGTGGCCAGAGGGGAACATAAGAGAAGAGAGGGTTTTTTGCCGGCAAAGGAGATTTGAGCTCATTTATAGGCATGGGGGAAGACAATCAGTAGGTGCATAAGTGAGTTGAGAATCTATACTAGCAATACAGGAAACCATGTTAGGATCACTGTCTCAACAAAAATGATCACAGCCTTCCAAAAATGCAACTTGACTTTAAAAAGGCTTTCTTTTATCACTTGCAAGAATATTGCTGTGACACCTAATAAAAATTTAATTAAGGCTTAGATGATATCACGTTTTATGTAACCTGAAGTCCTTAAATCCATGAAATCACTCAAATAGAATCAAGTTTGTTGGAAAGAGAATCTCATCTTAAGAAGTGGCAGCAGGAAAAATGAGTAAGTTCCATTTTATTTTATCAGTGAAGTCTGGGGCTACGAAATGGTTCTAACAGCATAAAGAAATAACAGCTGCATTCAAGACCAGGATATGTAAAATAATTTGTTTAGTTTCAGCCACTTTTTAAAGTCAATTTTACACCCTGAAAGAAAGGCAATCCTGACTCCATTGTTCTTTCGCCAATAAGGAGATCGGGAATTACAATAATAAATAGAAGAAAGAATGTTGTTTTTCCTCACTGTAATTAATTTTATGGCTCTTGCGAAGATGAATTTTTGTGGTGATTAAAATAGTCCCTTGCACATATTAGGTACTCAGTAAGCATTTGTGAAATAGGGACTTTCTAGCCTTTATTTGTGTTTAAGGAATCAGGGAATAAGTTCAAAATTGCCTTTCAAGAAATTTTTGGAACTCTCTTCTCACTAAGAAACTGTAAAGTCTTATAAAAGAGACATTATTTATTTTCTCCAAGTATTGCTTGCGAGGTGAATTGAAGGTTTTTTTTTTATCAACAGTTGTTTTATAAGATTGTTTGAGGACTAAAAGGGCTGATTGTAATCACCTGTAACATGTTACCCAGCAAGACATTCCTCACCAGGTTGAAGTAAAAAAAAGAAATGAAGTGAAATATCAAGCTTATGCAAGTTTGAAATTACAAACAAGAACAAAAGTTAAAACACATAAGCCCTTCTTATCAGTAGGTTATCTTTCAGGATAGATCATACGGTTGTTTCTCTTAGTAATTGCAACATTGCTCTGTTTTCTCATTGAGTAAGTGAGAGAGAGAGAGAGAGAGAGAGAGTGTGTGTGTGTGTGTGTGTGTGTGTGTGTGTGTGTATGTGTGTGTTGGTGGGCAGGCAGAGACAAATAAATGAGTTGGAAAGAAAGTAAAAGATGATAAATGGGTGGCTTAGGTCAGGTTCTGATAATTTTACAATATTTATGGGTGAATGCTAAGGTGGTTACATAGTTTGTGCTTGCTGAAATGATCCGACCTAGTTTAACTTTGTAATGAGTTGCAAACACAAAAACACCAAAATGCAAAATTAATGGATTTTGCAATTTGTTTTATAAGACATGCAGAAATGCAAACATAGAATATAAATGTGCATCAGTCTGCAGTGATCGTTCAGTTTGTAACTGAACTTGTTAGGTCATTTATCATTGTTTGCCTATGTAAATTGCTTTGTCACATGCTTCCACATAAATCAGCAACCGAGGCCTGTCCTTTTTGTTTTGGTTTAGTTTATTTCTTGTTCATGTAAGACTCTTAACCTGACAAGATATTAGCAAAAAGTGACTAACGTAAAACCATTTCCTCTGTCCATTACTTGCATTTTGGTGAAACAAGAAGGAAAAAATAGTTACAATTCAATAAATTTATATATTTATTGATTTATTTATTTTTGAGACAGGGTCTCATTCTATTGCCCAGACTGGAGTGCAGTGGTACGATCATGACTCACTGCAGGCTCCAACTCCTGGGGCTCAAACCGTCTTTCCACCCCAGACTCCCAATATTTTTAAGTTTTTTTGTAAAGACAGGGTCTTGCTATGTTGCCCAGGCTGGTCTCAAACTTTTGGGCTCTAGCAGTCCTCTCACCTAGGCCTCCCAAAGTGCTTGGATTACAGGTGTGAACCACCATGCCCGGCTAATATATAACTTTAAAAAATTTAAACTTCCAGTTTCTAAATATTCACTTGTATTGCTAGAATAGATTATGGAATTATTCATTTACGTATAAAAGACTGAAAACAACTCAAGCTTTTAGTATTTTCTATACTATTTGTTAACTTTACTCTGTTGTTTCCTAGCCCATGATAATAAATACAACATTGGAAATCTGTAATCAGAGCAATTTAAGTCCAAGTAAAACAGACAAGTCACTTTGCTATAGTCTCCTTAAATTTATGAAGGTGTTGAAATGCTTTTGAAAAGTGTGAGCTCAGATGAACTGAAGTCAATTATTCAGTCTTATAGAACAAAGATAGAAATGTTTGCTATAAAAGCCTGTTTTGGAAATTGAGTGTGACAGTGTACACAACCGCAGCCTGTTCAAACAGTTCCATCTGAATTATGCTTAATTGAATTTATTTTCATGGTTATTTCATAATTGGGAATAAAGATAAATAAGTGTGATATAATTGCTAATTTTAACAATGTGCTGGTTGATTAGAAAAGTGGTGACACATGCAAACTGGATTGTGGTGCTCACCAGTGAATTCTGATGACTCTAGGTGTTACAAGTTTAAGCTTCGGCTCCTTATAAGCATCGCTTAAGATTACTGCTCTGGGGCCAGGTGTGGTGGCTCATGCCTATAATTCCAGCATTTTGTGAGGCCGAGGCCAGTGGATCACCTAAGGCCAGGAGTTCAAGACCAGCCTGGCCAACATGGTGAAACCCCGTCTGTAATAAAAATACAAAAATCTTCCAGGCACGGTGGTGGGTGCCTGTAATGCCAGCTACTCAGGACACTGAGGCAGGAGAATCCCTTGAACTTGGGAAGCAGGGGCTGCAGTGAGCAGAGATCCCACCATTGCACTCCAGCCTGAGAGACAAGAGCGAAACTCAGTCTCAAAAAAAAAAAAAAAAAAAGTTACTGCTCTGCTACCTTCAGCTAAGAAACAACAGAGAAAGGTCTAGAAAGCTTGTCCAACCCATGGCCCATGTGCCCTGGGCATGTGGCCCAGGACAGCTTTGAATGCAGCCCAACACAAATTCGTAAACATTCTTAAAACATTATGAGATTTTTTTGCAATTTCTTTTTAAGCTTATCAGCTATCTTCAGTGTTAGTGAGCTTTACGTGTGTCCCAGGACAATTCTTCCAATGTGGCCCAGGGAAGCCAAAAGATTGGACACCACTGAACTAGACTCAGCTCACAGGGGCCTTAAAGAACTGGCCTGGGTTTGATTCCAAGTTTCATGAATTATTAATTCTGTGTACTTGGGAAATTGCTTCACCCTTAATTCTTTGGTTTTGTCTTCTGTAAAATCAAATGATAATGCCCACCTCACATGTTGGTGTTTTTTTTTTTTGTGATGATTAAAATATGAAACAGAGAATTCTTAGTACCTGATCTGGGGCGTTCACCAATGGTAACTGTTACTTTTTTGTTAAACAGATACTAGAGATACTCGACAGAGATTAATGTGTAACGGCAGACTCTTTAGAATGTAGATTTTGGGCATACATCCATTTACTTTCTTGCTTCCTGTTAAGGTTACATATGTATTAACATCTTATGATAACAAAGGTTGAAGGAAAATTAACTTGCTTTCATTCTAAATAGCCATTTAGATCTTCAAACAATCTAAAATTTCATCGTTTGAATAGGTTGGCAGTAGAATTTTTTAAATCACTTCTTGATAAGGAGGAATAATTGAAGACAAAAACTAAATGTTAACTAATTTCCTGTGTAATGTTACTGGAACCCAAAGGGTTTGTTCACCACTCTCCTGTCATTTTCTGATGCACTGATGTCCTGTAGATTCTTTTTCTTCACTAAAATCTATCTTGGAAATGCCAGTGGTCAGCAATGTGTTTTGGATTGACAGTTAATATCTATATATAGTTGTGAAATGCTATTTTTTTTTCAGGAAAGGAATCTCTTAGGATTAAAACTAAAATAAAAGTTTTATTCATTTGGCTACAGAGAAGGGAGAAGATTAACATTAACTAAAAACTCAAGTGTTTAAGCTTTAGATAAGTATGCAGCTTTCAAATAAGATTACAAAACTTTCCTAGATGGAGGATTTAGGGGCTATCTGGTCCAATCTCTTCATTTTACAAATATAACCCAGGAAGTTTATATTATTTTTGAAGGTCATAACCATAGTTGTGGTGGCAGGCTCAGCCTTAAAATACTCTTTCAATCTTACTGTTATTAATATTAAATTTATCATTAAAAACTAAGTAAGCTCACAGTTCCAAGACAGAGTACATTGAATAGTAAGCTTTGGTAATAAAAATGTAATAAAAACACATTTTGTTTAAAAATTACACATCCTCATGCCTTCAGCCACAATGTATACATTCTTATTTCATCAAGGAACTTCTAATTTATATGACCTCATAAAAATTATTGAAAACAAATTACTAGGAAAGGACAGTAAGGACTGGCCTATCCTCATTATTGCAGTAAATATCATATGTGTGATATTACGTGATTGAAGAGAATTTGGTAAGGAGTGTATATAATTGGTATATAATTTCAATTTTATTTTGGTGAAGCATTGAATATTACTGATTAGATATATACTATTCATGTCATTTGCTATTATCAGAGAACTGATTATGACAGTGAAACAGATGTCAGAAAGCAATTACACTAATAACAACATGATTACTGCCACCAATTTAATTCCAGAAACCTGCCTAGAATCCTTATGAAGCAAGTAATTTTCCTCAGCTGTCTAGAATAGGCATTGCTCTGTGTCCTTTACCCATCACAATCTAAAACATTTGAGCATTTTTGATTAGCCGAACCATGGAACATCAGTGTTCGAATCCTTCTCTTCAAATCTTACATCGTTTTCAAAGTGATTTCATTTCTTGTTGAAGCTTATTTTCACAGATGGAGGCTTGTTTCTTAGATTTGTTTTTATTCATTTGACCATCATCACACTTTGAAATGTGCACATTATGATTAAAAAATCAGCCCATGCCCATTCTTTATTTCTCAAGTAATGTAAGTTTCTACCTTGTTCTTCAGTGTGTCTTTTGGTTTTCTACCTTTTTCACTAAATTTCAGTGTTTCCATTTTAAAACTTAATGCTTTTCCTTATTTCATATTTCTTTCAAGTTATGAAGGCAATTCTGTTCATTATAGATATTTTAGAAGATACAAAACAGTATATAGAAGAAAAATCTTGTTTATCATCTAGTGATCATAAATGACCATTGTTAGAATATGGTGTGTTTCAGGGTTTTTTTTTTTTTTTTTTTAAGTGTTGCCTATCTGTCTATCTATCATCTTTTCCCCATCTATTTTGGTCACTAGCTGTGACCTTAGACAGATAGACTTCTGTGCCTTTCTTTCTTCATTTGTAAAATGAGAATAATAAGAACCTCTACCTCATTCGTGACTTTGAGGATTAAATTAGTTAATTCAGGTAAAGTGACTAACAGAATGCCAGACATAGGAAACTTTCAGTAAGTGCTGATGATTTTTATTCAGCATTGCTCATTTATATCTAATGTGCCTGTACATCTTTTCATTTCTGTTTGTATTTTATAGCAAACATAGTAGTATATACGTACATAGCAGTATGTTTATAATGTAAGTAGTATTATGTACATTATAACATACAAAAAAATAGAAATGAAAAGAAACAAACACCCCAATGGATAGTCTGTCATGCCCCACATTAAAAACCACTTGAGGCCAGGCACAGTGGCCGGTGCCTATAATACTAGCATTTAGGGAGGCCAAGGTGGGAGGATCATTTGAGGCCAGGAGTTCAAGACCAGGTAGAGCAACATCCCAAAATCCTCATCTCTACAAAAAATTTAAAAAACTAGCCAGGCATGGTGGTGCATGCCTGTGATCTCAGCTACTCTGGAGGCTGAGAATTGACAAGGAGAATAAATGATAATATTTACAGGTAGCTTCAGATCCCTGTATTTACATTGAGGTTTCAGATTTGGAGTAGGATACTGGAGTCATTTTGATAACCTGGTACTCTAGTGTTATCTATGTCTCTTCACTGAATGGAGATATGATTCCAGGACCTCTTAGCATGCGTTGAGGCATATAATACTCACCGGTGTACAGTAATGGGCTTCAATGCTGGGATTACTTTTTAGGGTTCAGCTAAATGTATACATTTCCCACCCCTGTCCTTTCATAAGAAGTGTCCTGACAACTGCAGCTCCCAATGTCCTTGCTCTCTGTTGATTTCTCCCATGTATTACCCACTGAAACCTTGATCATTTAACCACCTTATTTTCCCACTGGTTTGAGTCACAGCATAATGAACATCTTTATAAGTAACACTCATGCTGACTTCAACTCATAGGCCAGAAGATTATCTGCAAAACCTAAGCCAGTAAGAAGCTTTTATCTTGCTCGGAGAAGGTGAATTTGAAGGCAGCTAAACACATTGCAAATTTAGAAGAAGGATGTAGGTCTTAACTTGTGGATAGACTTTTCCTCGTATATGGGTTAATGAATATCCTTCTCTCTCTTGTGAATTCTTATTAATATAGGCCATAAATGGAGCTTTCTTTTTTGCTCTATAAAGCCTTCTTATCTTTTGACGTCATGTTTATATTATCTGATATGATGTAAACAAATCTGACAGGAGTAACTAAAAAAAGCAGTGCACAGCTAAATGTATTCAGTGTTTATTGGCTGATATGTTTTCCCCACATAGCTTCAATTTAAAAATATATTTTTATCCTTTATTACATATCCTCCTTCTTAGTAATGCTTTTAACTTATGTCATATTTTTTTTTCTATAAAATTTACCGGACCCCTAATGTCTTTACAACGATCTGCCACTGTATCTACAGCATTTTGGTTTCCCACCAAGGTAGTTTTAAATCACATTTAGCTCAATTGACTTATTTATGAATACTGTTTGAAAACAGTGTTTATGTGGTAAACATGCTTTTCATTGCTGCATTTTAAAAGATAAATGCAATGGAATACTTATTTTTTTGTTTCACAATTTAAAGCTAAGGTATTAATTTGATAATTATTCAATGTCAATTTATCCAATATCGATTTATTCTCATGTTCTTTATTTGTAAAGTTTTTCTGGGTTTCCAAAGAGTCTACCCCTGTTATCGTAGGATTCCTCCATAAGGACACCATCCACGGGTACCACTGAGAGCTTCTGGCTGCATTAAGATATTTTCTAGTGAAGAAGAAAATCAGAGACAGAAAAATAAACATTAGAAAATAAGAGAAGTGAGAAATGTACAGGAAAAATAAGTAAATAACTAAATGTGGTGTATATACACAATAGTTATCTGAAAGAATGAAATCCTGTCATTTGCAACAACATGAATAGAACTGGAGGTCATTATATTAGGGGAAATAAGGCAGGAACAGAAAGAAAGATCCCACATGTTTCTCATTCATATGTGGGAGCTAAAAAAATGTGATCTCCTGGAGCTAAAGAATAGAATGACTGATATCAGAGCCTGGGAAGAGTGTGTGGGTGGTAAAGGGGGATAAAGAGAGGTTGGTTAGTGGGTATAAACATACAGTTTGATAGAACAAATAAGCCCCGACATTCTGTAGCAGAGGAGGGTGACTGTAGTTAGCAAAACTGTATTGTGTATTTCAAATAGCTGGAAGAGAGGACTTGAAGTGTTCCCAATACATAAAAATGATAAACAGTGAAGGTGATGGGTGCCCCAAATGCCCTGACTGATGGTTATATATTCTACACATGTGACAAAATATGGCATGTATTCTGCAAATACGTAAAATATTATGTATCTAAATAAATAAAAATGGAAAAAAATTAAAGAACAGATAAGACAGACACACAGGAAAATTGTATCTGTAGTGAGCGGTGTTCTCAACGTCAATTACCTCAATTTCTCTCTTGCAGAACGTTTTTTGACGTGACTGTGAAGAGCGAAAGTATGATTTGTTGAAAAATTAGTCGGATTTTTAGTGGAGAAACTGGATTAGGATCATAGTTTATTTTGTAAATTTGTTTTTGAACGAATGGTTCCTATCCCAGCGGGTACAGAGTTTCAGTCAAAATGACTAAGTAACCAAAAAGCTGAATGAAGCTGGACATTTTCCTGGATGCTCACTGAAGTCTGTGCCTGAATGGGTAGAAATGTAGTGACTTAGTCAAAAGTGATGTATTACAAACCACCGGACACTCACAAATAGAGGAGGGTCTTGCTTTTCAAAGGCTACAGGAATGAGGGATTTTCTAATGCGATGTTGAGGTCCTATAAAAGGTCACTGTCTTTTCTTTTCTTTCCTCCGTTTATTTTTATTTTTATTTTTCAATATTTTTTTTTCTTTTTTCTTTTTGAGGTAGGGCTCTGTCGTCTGGGCTGGAGTGCAGTGGTGTGACCATGTCTCACTGCAACCTCTGCCTTCTGGGCTCAAGTGATCCTCCCACCTCAGCCTCCTGAGTAGCTGGGACTACAGGCGCGCATCACTACACCTGGCTAATATTTTCATTTTTTTAACTTTTTGTAGAGGTGAGGTCTTGCTATGTTGTCCAGGCTGGTCTTGAACTCCTGAGCTCTGGCCTTGGCCTCCCAAAGTGCTGGGATTACAGGCAAGAGCCAATACACCTGTCCAAAAATGTCACTTATGATGGCCAAAATTCACAGGGTACTGGACATTGGAACCAGGAATATAGCCCCAGTTTTGGTTCAGGATCTAATTGTACAAGAAAATATCTTGCTTTGGTTATTCACTTGTTATGTGTGGTAGGAACCCACTGGGACATGACACAGGTTCTTCCTTAGCAGGCTGTCTGCTTCCAGATGTGGTTTTCATAGGGAGTTGCCCACCCCCAACCTGTGGGGCAGGTCACTTCCCTTCTCTGCTCTCCACGTTCCCTGTCTATAGAAGAAGGCCCTTGCACCAAGTCTGAAATTCTCACCACGTGTGCCATAACACAAAGGTTCCACCAGTGTGCTCATAAATTGTAATAAACGTGTAGGATTTGTTTTTTGCTGCAGCTTTGGAGAGACAATTATGGTGACTTCTTGCCAGATGAAATGTTAAACTGAACTGTAGAGAGTAAGGGTAATTTATCGCAAGCAGGAGGGGAAGTGTCACGTTAAGCCTGTGCCATGAGGTGTTCCTTGGGATCTTTGAAAACTCTTCTTCTGAGTGTTAATGATAGAGCAAGGCCCTAGCGGGAAACCCTTCTCCCCAGTAAGTCATGCCATGTCAGGAGTGACCAAATTAGTAGTGATGCAGGGCAGGTGACCCCCAAAGTGGAGCTTACCCCATGAGAGTTCTTAGCTTTCCCCAGAAAATAATTCAAGGGCAAGCTAGAGGTAGAAGAAAACAGCTTTATGAAAGAGGCAGTGTTATAGCCCTGGTGATGTTGCAGCTCCTTGACTGCTCCTGCAGAGTAGGGCCAACCCCTCAGCAGAGAGAAGCAGCTCAGGGCAGTTTTGCAGTTCTATTTATACCACTTTTAATTACATGCAAATCAGGAGGCAGTTCATGCAGAAATTTCCTAAGAAGGGGTAGTAGCTTTTGGGTCATTGGGTCATTGCCATGGAAAAGGGGCAGTAACTCCCAGGTGTTACCATAGTAATGGTAAATTGGCATGCCATACTAGTGGGCCTGATTTAAAGCTGTTTCCTCCTTGGTCCCGTTTTAGTTAGTCTTCAATCTGGTCCAGTGTCTGAGCCCTGGCCCTGGAGTTGAATCCCACCTCCTACCTCAGTAGGTCTCTATCTATGGAGGCTATTTATTTAATTCCTTCAGGTCAATCCTCTTTATTTCCAGAATAGCCTGCCCAGGTCAAAAATTTACAAAGCTGCACTCAAAGATTGCTTGAGTCCAACCTTTCACTTCTTCCTTTGGTAACTCAAGTGTAGTCATGGCAACCACCCTAAAGAATAAATATAAACCTGATGCCTGTGCCAAAGGTGAGTAATTTGGATCTGTTAGTGGCAGGAAAGCTGTTTTTAGGGGAGGAGAAGGAGGATAAAATAAAATAAAAGGAAAAGAGCATTATTTTTCTCCATTAATCCCCTGTGATTTGATATTTTTACCACAGAAGATAAGATTGGAAAGAGAAAATGGGGGCTTTATGAAGTGATTAAATCTCGAGGAGGGAAAAAGAAAGTCAAGTCTTACTGATGGGTTATGAATGAATGACCCTTTGGTTTTCAAAGGGACTGCGTTATTGATGTGATACCTTCCATTTATCTTTTTTCATATATCATACCTCTCTTTCATTATAAAGAATAACTCCTACTATAAACTTTTTTGGTCCATTACAATAAAATTGGTTTTTAGATTTGTCCATAATAAACCCTGCATGGAAGACTTACTTTACCTCACCAAACTTTTTTGGGGGGTCTGATATCAGTAACTCCTTTGGGAGCCAATGTCAAGATATGCAGTGTGGGAAGAGGGAAACATGGAAGGACAGTCTCGTGGGCCAAGACCACAAGTCACATAGTTGATCTGGCATCAAGTGGCCATCTCAGACGTGTGACAAGCTTCCTGTATTTGTCTGTTTTCACACTGCTAAGAGAGATACACCAGAGACTGGGTAATTTATAAAGAAACAGAGGTTTAATGGACTCACAGTTCCATATGGCTGAGGAGGTGTCACAATCATGGCAGAAGGGAAAAGGCACGTCTTACACGGCAGCGGGCAAGAGAGAGCGTGTGCAGGTGGAGTTCCCTTAATAAAACCAGCAGATCTTTTGAGACTTATTCACTGTCAGAGAACAGCATGGGAAAAACTCGCCCCCATGCTTCAGTTACCTCCCCCCGGGTCCCTCCCACAACACTTGGGTATTATTACAATTCAAGCTGAGATTTGGGAGGGGACACAGAGTCAAACCACAACACTTCCCCCAAAAAAGAATTTATTGGTCATTGTGTTCTATTTTACTTGAAGTTCTTCCTGAAGATAATACAGCATTTCATAGGCTTTTGTATAAAGTGTTTGAATGTGCATGCTTTCTATATTTGTTTAGAGGGTAGAGAAAAGTCCAGATGATTCCAAACAGTGGATTTTCATGTGTGGCAAAATGAATGATCTGAGAACTGCTTCTGGGAACTCAGAAGGAGTCACTTTGGTTTGTGCAGGTCTGCAGAGCACGTTTTAAGAACTACTGGCATAAGTCATTATCTGTGGTGGAAAAGGCTGCCTGGCATGTAGCTGTTAACTCAGCGGTTGCCCAAGTGTGGAGATTCAGCATTACCTAGGAATGTATAAGAAGAACTCTGGGCTTCAAGTCAGATTTGCTAAGTCACAAACTCTGGGGGTGGAGCCCAGCAAACTGAACCTTAACAAGCCTCCGGGAAATTCCATACACATTTAAGTTTGAAGATCACTTTACTGCCCCCGCTCTCATTTTCTAATAATCCCAACCTCAATGTATTTCAGCCCAATACTTGTCATAGCTAACATACATTCTGTTCTAAATGGTGTTGTGGACTATTCTAGGCAATTTACGTGCATGATTATGTTCTTGTAACACCACTATCACATAGAGTCTATATTTTGGCTTTATTTTAAAGATGGGTAACTGATGGTTACAGTGATATACTGTACTGGGATTACACAATTAGTAAACAGCAAGGACTGGGATCCACAGTGTTTAACTCCTAAATCTGTGTGCCTAACCATAGAACTATTCATTGTATATACCTACCGATTGCTAGGCAGTTAGATGCCAGTGTTAGAACAAAATAGTCCCCTACCCAATGGAATCCCATTTTCATACATTAGAAATTGAAGTCTGGTGCGGTGGCTCATGCCTGTAATCCCAGTATTTTAGGAGGCTGAGGCAGGAGGATCACTTGAGCCCAGGACTTTGAGACCCCATCTCTATAAAATTTCTTTTTAATTAAAAAAAAGAAACAGTTGTGTTCCCTGGCTTTTTCAGTGCAAGCCATTTCACCTAGAAGATGGCCGCTATGAAAATGAGACACAAGACGTACCTATTTCTGGAAGCGTTCTCTGCTTTTCCTTATGGAATGGATCCTTTCTTTAGACACTTTGCCTCAGTTTTTGTTGTCATCTGTTTCTGCAGTTTGGTGGTTTTCACTGTGTGTGTCTCTTACCTCTACTCCCTGCAGATGCATTGCAAATTCTTAAAAGAGAGGGACTCTATCTGTTGGTGACTTCTACCAGTTCCCCAGCAGGTTTCTTGACGCAGGAGGCATCCAGTGAGGGTTCTTGAATCTTAAGGATGTTTGTAAAACCTCTTCCATGCGAATACAAATCCAGGTTAGGTGAGGGAGGGAACCACCTGAAGCATTGGAGGGAAATGGCTAAAATACATTCAAAATACTTACCAAAAGTACCAAAAGAAGAAATAACTGTTGTCATTGTTGTTAACTTGAATTTCCAAACATCTTCCATGTAGGTTAGTAGAGAATTTCAAATATTTCCACGAAGTACCCACTAGGATTTCAATCCTCCTTCCTGTGGCTGTGTTGTACCCACAGGCTGTTCTTTTTGGCTGCACTTGAATTTCATGAAGTGATGCTGTTTGCCTGTAAGGGTTTTGGAAGGGGAGGATGGCAGGTTTTTTTAATGAACTCACTCTTCATCTCATGAAAAGAAGCTTTCAGAAAAGACGATTTCACTTCATTGCTACAACATTGAGCAATGATACAAAAAAGTTTTTCACTTTAAGTGAGAAGATTTGATTATGTGACGAAGGAATCCCTGTTAATGTCCTATTAATATCCTATTAATATTTTGTGTCACATATATTTAGGAAATTTTAAATTCCTTTATGACCCTTCAATGCCCTTGTTTTTTATTTAATCATAGGGATTTGTGGAATTTATACAAGTAGTTTTGCAACCCACACATGTACATAGTTTTAAAAGTGAAGAATAGTATTTTTATTACAAAAGAAACAAGTTTATTGTAGATAATGGAAATAAAAAATAAATAACAATAACATAATTCAAATGCATGTTTCTTTTCCATGTGGTGAATTTATTGATGTATATTATAAACTACGATCTGTATATGTAGACAAGTATTCTGTCTCGCTCTCTCTCTCACACATACACACACAAGTCACCAAATTTTTTAATGAAAACTTAATTCTACAAAATGAAATCTAATATAATATGATACATGATATAGTTTGGCTGTGGCCCCACCCGAATCTCATCTTGAATCGTAGTTCCCATAATCCCCACGTGTCTTGGGAGGGACCTTGTCAGAGGATATTAGATTATGGGGGCAGTTCTTCATGTGAACTCATTCACTATCCCATGATAGTGATCTGATGGCTTTATAGTGGGCCTTTCCCCCTTTTGCTTGGCGCTTCTCCTTGCCACTGCCGTGTGAAGAAGGACATGTTTGCTTCCCCTTCCACCATGATTGTAAGTTTCCTGAGGCCTCCCTAACCCTGCACAACCATGAGTCAATTAAACCTCTTTCTTTGATAAATTACTCAGTCTCCATTATGTTCTTATAGCAGTGTGAGAACAGACTAATACAGTACATATTATATCTGTTATCCTATTTGAATGGATGGGATGGGTTATTTTGAAGTTAAAGGACTATAAAAAGACATAGGCACTTAGTGGTAGGAGAAAGTGTAGGAGAAAATAAATTGCAGTAGAGATTTTCCAAAGTTCTTCCTAAAGGGAGGTCTGCTTCACCTGTGGTGTGGGCTTTGAGGATGGTCCAAGTACGGCCATCTCTAGCAGCATTAAATGTAGTTCTCTATGTTACATTTCCTTACTCCCTAAATTATATTAAGGTAATTTGATTGACCTAAGGTGGTAGTCAGTAACTGTCACTCACCTTAGCAACATTCATCAATATACTTTGCACCCTCTAAAGAGAGCAATGGTCAGGAGGGTGGGTGATGCTATTTAATGCTAACCACACTGCCTGACTTCACTGACATAATTGCTTTACATGTCAATTTCCTTGTCCTGTGTAGTTAAATTAGAAATATCCCTTATCTAACCTAGGAGAAAACTGCACCTGCCTAACTGATAGGTTTTTTTTTTTTTTTAGATACACACACATTTTGAATAAGGAAAAATTAAATATGTATTTTCCCCAGCAGTAATTTTCAGTACCTAATAATAATACTTCCTTTAGTAAAAGTCTCCGTACTTCATAATATTCAGCGAGAAGTTAGCTGAGTTGTTTATAGACGATGTTCTTAAAACTTTTGAACCTGTACTCCTTTTATTGGGCATTATAATTAAAAGGCAAAATGCAAAGCAAATTTGCTAAAAAGATTAGTATCTCATGAACGTTTCATCACGAGAGACCCAACTAATCGTCTAATTGGTTCCTCCATGTCCACCACTTACACACCCATACTAAGAGACTCTAAAGCAAACAACCTGCATTTAAATTACTATCTGTTAAATTCTTTATAAGCGCCACCAAAATATGCATTTTAAATAAAATATCCTGTACACTGCACTTTAGGAAAGACATGAATTTTAATGCATTTCCAAGTAGCAGATAAGAAAGCAAATCAGGGCTTACTCAGTGTTCTCAAATGGCAACCCCAGACCTGGAGCTAAGTAAAAAATGGATTCAGCCATAAAGCCCAGAGTCCTGTGCTGTTGGAACTCAGAGGGCTCTCTGCTTCAAAAATAGCAGACTCTGCATGTCATTCAATTTGCTTTCACAAACATTTTGTTGAATGCTTACAACATGCCAAGCATTCAGGTATGTAACCCCAGAAGATTTAAGGAATCACAAGACCTACTTCTTGCTTTTGAAGTGTTCAAAATAAAGGATTTTATGATAAATGGGCAAAACTAGATATAAAAACAAAGTATTTTATGACATTGATAAGGGTAATAAATAGTGATGTCTTCACAGTGCTATGGTTTTGGACATAGATGGGGAACAATTATTCTTTCCAAGGAAGGTCAAATCTCAGGAAGATTGCTTTTCTCTTGCTCCATTGTCATCATCCAAAGGAATAAAGTAACATAGATTAGGGCCTTTCCTATAATAACCTCTCAAGACATATTTGTTCATTTGACCTGAATTGTAGCATTTCTAGTTCTTAAAATATTTAGGGTTTTTGTTGTTGTTGTTTTTTAAGCAGTAGTTACACTTAACAATTCGTAGATTTGACAAAGATTTCTTGCCTGCAACTTACCCCTCCTCACATGTTTTAGTACCTCTCTTGTCAGTAACCATTTATGACTCTGAGAAGCTGTCTTTGACGGGGCATATGACCAATCAAGAGAGCTGGGGTAACCCACACTTTCCTTCAGCTCTTTTCTCTCATTTATTTTTATTTTTATGTTTTTGAGACAGAGTCTCGCTCTGTTACCCAGGCTGGAGTGCAGTGGCACAATCTTGGCTCACTGCAACCTCCACCTCCTGGGTTCAAGTGATTCTCATGTCTCAGCCTCCCCAGTAGCTGGAATTACAGGCATGCACCACCATACCCAGCTAATTTTTTTGTATTTTTGGTAAAAACCTGGTTTGACGGTGTTGGCCAGGCTGGTCACAAACTCCTGGCCTCAAGCAATCCACCCTCCTTGGCCTCCCAAAGTGCTGGGATTACAGGCATGAGCCACTGCACCTGGCATCTTTTCTCTTATTCTTTGAAGAAGCCAAGGTAGTCAGACCTGAGTGAAAACCAGCAGATGGTGATAGTAAGGAGCAGTGATTTTAATCAATAAAGAGCCTGACATTGACATTCAGGGATAAGAGAAAATACTGGATCAGGCCACAGAAAGGTAATCTAGGATCTTGTTCAAAGTGTGGTCCATAGCAACATCAGTTTCACTTGGGAGTTACTGAGAAAGGCAGAATCTCTGCAGACCTACTGAACGAGGATCTGCATTGTAAACCATTTATCAAGGCTGGGCATGGTGGCTCACACATGTAATCCCAGCATTTTGGGAGCCTGAGGCAAGAGGATACTTGAGACCAGGATTTCGAGACCAGCCTGGGCTACACGGTGAGACCCCATCTCTACAACAAATTAAAAAATTAGCCAGGCATGCTGGCTCATGCCTGTGGTGCCAGCTAGGAGGATCCCTTGAGCCTAGGAGGTTGTGGTACCAGGTAGGAGGATCCCTTAAGCCCAGGAGATTGAGGCTGCAGTGAGCCCACATTGCATCACTGCACTCCAGTCTGGGTGACAGAGCAAGACCCTGTCTCAAAAAAAAAAAAAAAAAAAAAAAAAAAAAAAAAAAAAAAAGTTTTCAATAGGCTCCTTTGCATATTAAACCTTGAGGATTGTTCTAAGTTCAGTGGAAAAGATTTCAAATCACTGAAAAATGAGAAATACAAATGGATTCTAGAAAACAAAGTTTTTCAGCCATGGTGATACTGTTCCACCTCATATTCCACAAAGTTTGTTGACTATAGATAATTATATAATATGCAAATGATGGATAATCACATCAAAACACATATTCAGCCAAATGGATGATATCGTGGACTTTGTGCCATTTAGTTAATAAAAAATCTGTGTTTTTATGATGGAGTTTATTATTTTGTCTAGTCTACAGAATAGTGCCCATTGCAAGACGCTTCTGAGGTGAGAACGTTACCACAAGTCAATTATTAAGTAAAGGAATCTGATTGTGTAAAAATATTTTTTGATCTCTTCAAATTGTACTGATAGTTCTAACTCAATCATGTTCTTAGTCTGGCACAATAAAATAGGCAATATAATCATCACCAGGCTAAGTGAAAATACTTTTTACTAATTTTGCAGACACAAACTAATCAAGGTAATTTGAATCTTGGACACAATTCAAGAAAGCCATTTATTTAACTACTTTGAGATTCATTCTTTCAGTTGCTCAATAAAGGTTACAGATAAAGATAATACAGAAAATAGAGTACAGTTTTAAAAGGCTGAAGGAAGGGACAAGGTATCTAATGTGGAACCATTTATTATCTGAAACTGTAGGACTTAAAGTGAGTAATGCCTTTGTTTTGTTCTTACATTAAGTATCACAGTTCATTAGAAGCAATACTGATTATTCTTATATTGCTTATTGAATAAGAACTGCAAAGAATGTGAACATTATTTTCTCTTTGCTGAAGAGTGCATGTGTTGTAATTAGATTTTACCACTTTGCTATAACAAATTTCTTCCTTCTGTTTCTCCTCCTTTATTTTTATTTTTTAATTTTAATTTTTATTTATTTATTTATTTTTGTATAGATGAGGTCTCGCTATGTTGCCAAGGCTGATATTGAACTCCTGGTCTCAAGGGATCTGCCTGCCTCGCCCTCTCAAAGTGTTGGGATTACAAGTGTGGGGCACCACCCCCAGCCTCTCCTTATTCCTCTTCTCTTTCCCCTTCGAGTTTCTATCTCATTCAGGATCTCTAGAACACTGAACTTGAGTTAACTTTCCAATGCTGCTTTGGGTGGGGGGGGGGTTGCAATTTCTCGAAAACTAGAGTGAAGACAGAGTGAAAATGAGGGGTGAAGAGACACAGTAAATGAAAGGCCACGGTTTCATAAGGAAATATAGCTGGGTGCTTGGTTCCACAGGTTGTGTCTCCTGCCAGGTTGTTGGAAATGAACAAATCTTGGAATATATCTTTATGTGGATCAATTTCTTTTCTGGCTTCTCCCATCTTTTGTGTCTCTTTGGTCCAAATTTACCCCAGAAGGCTTTGACTCCCCTTTATTTACTCTGGCCCTCTGCACAGGCTCTGCAGAAACCAGCATTTCCCTGATTCTGGTTGAGTCAGACCTGGGCACCGGAGGTGTTGTGACTCCCACTGTGGTGGGTGCCATGGAATCAGCACAGAATGCTGGCCCTTGACCCCCCGGGGAGACTGCATTTACCGTAGTGACAGGAGACAAGGCTATCACAGCCACAACTGGGTGTCTTACATGTGCTATCAGACTGGCTGGAATTTCTGGGGGCTGCTCTCCCCTGCAGCAGGGCGAGTGGATGAGGCCTGGGAGGCAAGTGGCCTGAGCAGATCGGGACATCATATAAACTGTGTTTAGGACAGTCTCTACATAATTGCCTGAAATGATAGCATCTTAAAAGAAAACACCCATTTGTCTTTCCACAACAACCAGACTAGCCTAAACTATAGCAGACAAAAGTCCTAGATATGTTGTTTTTAATATAAATCAGTGGCTATCAACCCAAGGCAATTTTGCCTCCCAGGGGCCATATGGCAATGGCTGGAGACATTTGAGGTGGTCACAACTTGAGGGGTGCTACTGGTGTCTAGTGAGTAGAGGCCAGAGATTCTACTAGACCAGCTGCTATACACAGGACAGTGCCCTACAACAATTATCCAACCCAAAATATCTTGGTTGAGAAATGTTCATGTAGACGCAAGACCTAGATTTTTTTTTACATTATAAGGTTAATTTAATATTTTATTTGGCAAGCGAAGTTAAAAAAAACCTCAGTTCCTGTCTTTTAGTTGCAATTCCAGCCTAGCCTGGCCTTCCAGAAACGCCAGTGTCTTTGGGTAATTGGTGCCCCTGGGAAAGAGGAGTCCCAGGAACTCCAGGGGAGGTGTTGGAGAGTGCCAGGGGCAAATTTCACATAGTCACCCCAGTCCTGATAGTTTATGGAGTAGACACACATCTGTGAGCCTGGCCACCATTTTTATAACAGTTTTCCACTGCGAGAAAAATGTGTTATATTGGAAACATGTGTACAGTTGTTAGAATCAGCTCAGCATTCATTTAAAATATTTTTATATATCTCAATTTGAAGAAATCTCCCACAGTTCTTAAAATCACTTTTGTTATTACTATGAATAGATTCAACTGTGATGGGACTAAAATGTAAATTACTTCAGGGCAGGGATCTTTGTTTTATTTATAAATATATCCAACAAGCCTAGAATTGTGCCTGGTTCATACAACACATGTTTGTTGAATATAATTTTGGAGACTTAGTAGTAGAAATGAGTTTTTATGAGAGAACTGTATAAATACACAAGTAATTAAAACTCAAATACGATTTTGTTGTTGTTGTTGTTGTTCTGTGTTAATATATCAGAGGTACCAGGCCCATCAAAGGCTGGTGTCATTTCAAATTATCGTCAATGGTTGGCTTTTGAAGTCCTTGAAATGGAGGTTTTTTCACTTTTCCCCCCTTAGATATTTTTATTTATGGAATCAAACAGAACTGGATTTGAGTCCTAGGTCTACCTCTTATTTCTGTGTACCTTCAGGCAATTTATTTGAACTGTCTAAACCTTCACTTCTTCTTTTGTAAAACTTTTAGTACAGATTGAATGTTCTTTATCTGAAATTCTTGGGAGTAGAAGTGTTTCTGGTTTCATATTTTTCAGATTTTGGAATATTTGCATTATACTTAGAGGTTCAGCATCCCTAACCTAAATATCTGAAATCTAAAATTCTCCAATGGACATTTCCTTTGAGCATCATGTCAGCCCTCAGAAAGTTTTGGATTTTGGAGTATTTTGGATTTGGGATTTTCAAATTTGGAATGCTCAATCTATATTAAATAAACTAATATAATGGGCATAGTTTAGTGCCTACAACAAAGCAAGTATTCAAAAATTGTGTGCCATTAGGCCGGGCTCGGTGGCTCACGCCTGTAATCCCAGCACTTTGGGAGGCCAAGGCAGGCAGATCATGAAGTCAGGAGATCAAGACCATCCTGGCTAACATGGTGAAATCCCATCTGTACTAAAAAAATATACATATATAAAAAATTAGCCAGGCCTGGTGGCAGGTGCCTGTAATCCCAGCTACTTGGGAGGCTGAGGCAGGAGAATTGCTTGAACCTGGGAGGTGGAGGTTGCAGTGAGCCAAGATCGTGCCACTGCACTCCAGGCTGGGTGATAGAGTAAGACTCTGTCTCCAAAAATAAAAAAACAAAAACAAAAATAAATTGGGTGCTATTTAAAAACTGGGTATGTCAGATTTTATAAATCAGAGGTATTTTGTCAATTCATATATTTACTAATAGTGTAGAATGTTTTGTGAACTATTTATTGTTTACATATATATGCTTTTCTCGATCTTTGTCTTTTTCTATTTTTTTGCTTTTAGGCTTTGGCATGATAACATTATACTAATAAAAGTGATTTTTATTAAAGATAACTCACAGTGGAAGCTTTATACACACACAAACACACACACACAGACACACACACACACACACACACACACACACACACTCACACAATGTCAGCTCTCCTTATAATAAACTTGGTTTGCCAGACATCATCATCTGCCAGTTTGATGGTCTGTGATGAACTTGGACCCAGAGATGGGCATTGAGAACTTTCTCCAAAAAGTTCACGTTGAGTTTGAGAAGCATTAGTCAATCACTGTAAGCGCAGCAAGGATTCAGGCTTTGTTCAGAGTTTTGATGCTCATTTCGTCTTTTTACATCCCTGTCTTTCCTGGCCCTGACAGCTCAACACTGGCATTTCACACATTTCATCTGCTTTCTCCATACCGAAAATAAACTGTTTCCAGACATGAATAAATGGGGGAAATCAAAACAACTTGTACTAAAAATTTGAGAGTTCTGAAGACTTTTTATTTATTTTCCATTACTTCTTATTTCACAAGCGTTCTTAAATATCTTTTTTAATTGCATCCTTGAAGATACATCATACCGTGGTTACAGGGATAAAGAAATCAATCATTGCTGAAATCATTTCCTTACTGGAAATCATCAGGGAAGATAGATATGTACAAAATAATTAGAATCATGCAAACTGAGTTTCTGCTGTGGCTCTTTTATTTTTAAAGTGACAAATAATAATAGTCATAATTTATTAAACACTTGTATGGCAGATGTTCAGCCATGCCCTTTAAGTAGACTATTTTATTAAACTTTCACAAGAAGCAACAAGTTACCTAGTTTACAACTGAGGGAGCTAAGGTGTACAAAATTAAGTTACTTGCCTAAAGTTCTACAGCTAGCAAGTTACAGAGCTAGTCAAGACCCTCACTAAATAGGAAGTCATTTTATTATTTATTTCAGCTTCCCACAATATAATTAACACTATTCACTTTTTAGATTTCAATGACAGGAGAAAACCAAAATGGCCTAGAACTAAATCCTCTCTCGCTGTCCTCTACATCTGCAACCGACACACTTCTTAAAGCTGTATTAATATTAAAATTGCAAACTGAACCCAATCAACTGAGGGATAAGATCATTTGTACTCCTAATTAGAACTTCAGATAGAAATGAATCATTTATATTTGTGTACTTTTTTAACCAAGAATTATTCATATACTTAAATATTCTTCTCATCAATTTAGAAGATATCTAGAAAAGGTATAGATGAACAATTTTTCTAGTTAGTGGCAATTGTCTGAAGGGTTCA
Source organism: Homo sapiens (assembly GCF_000001405.40). Classification (NCBI taxonomy): domain Eukaryota; kingdom Metazoa; phylum Chordata; class Mammalia; order Primates; family Hominidae; genus Homo; species Homo sapiens. Next base: position 19,857,581 of record NC_000010.11, read on the forward strand.
TTGTCAGACCTTTCTTTTTCCAATTTGTAAAGTTTGTATCCATGTATTGGTATGGGCTGCACAGTTTGAAGAAGCAAATTGCATCATGGCGCAGAGTTCAAATAGGAAACTAACAAAGACATTAGAGATGTGCTAAAATATATGCCTGTTCTCCATTCCCTTCAGTGGCTGGACACGCTTGGGTTCTGAAGTATTATTTGTGGGAGTAGAATAATATCCATAGGAGTAGATGTAAAGAAATCTTATTTACCCAATTTATAATGAATCAACAAATCCATGGGCAATTGATTCATCATCAAAATATTTAAAATACTATTTATTTTCTCTAAGAATTGGTGGTTTTGGCATTTTAAATATATTTGTTGGGAGACTTTTAAAAATTGGACTTGCCTGTTGTTTGACTTACATAAATATGTTCTTGAAATTATAAATGACTTCCCGTTCATCTGTTTGCTTTTATTACTGTTGTTTGGGAGCAACATGCAGCTAGGTTGGCCAAACGCTCATCTGGCCTCTTGGAGGAACAGAACCAGCAGTGGAAAAAGGACAGAAGATATGAATAGCAAGAACAGTTTAGAGTTGCTGATTTCTGGGGACAAATTTTCAAGCAAAAATCTCCCTCGGGTGGCTGTAGTCCCCCAAATTACCCTCCTTCATCACTCATTCTTTCTATGCTCATTTATCTGCCAGGAACCTGCACCATGCAGCTAACCTGCTGTCTCCCGCTTAACTGTGGGCTCCTGAGGTGTACTATCTACTCCTTTTTCAAACCGAAATCTGCAGTGTTTGGTGCAGTTTCAAGAACAAAGTAGTGTTCAACGAATACTTGTTGAATAAATGAAGGGAAGAATTCTTGAAATCATTCTCCCTTTTGCTTAAAGATTGCAGTGAACTTACACCAAAT